>NC_000003.12:131129816-131281331 GCF_000001405.40 Homo sapiens
TGTACTGTCTTAATTACTGTACTTTATAGAAAGTCTTGACATCAGGTAGTATCAGTCCTCCAACATTGTTGTTCTCCTTCAAAAGACCCAATATTATGGATCTTTTGCCTTTCCATACAAATTTTAGAATCTGTTTATCAATGTCTACAAAATAACTTCCTGGGATTTTGATTGGGGTTACATTGCATCTATTGATCAATTTGGAAAGAATCCATATCTTGACAATATTGAGTCTACCTATCCATGAACATGGATTATTTTTCCATTTATTTAGTTCTTCTTTGATTTTTTTTCATTACAGTTGTGTAGCTTTCCTCATATAGATCTTGTACATATTTTATTAGATTTATACCTAAGTGTTTCATTTCAGGGGTACTAATGTAAATATAGTTTGATATAAATGTCAAATTCTACTTGTTCATTGCTGGTATATAGGAAAGCAATTGATTTTTGTGTATCAACCTTGTATTCTGCAACATTGCAGAATTAATTACTTGTTAATTCCAGGAGGTTTTTTTAATTGATTCTTTTGGATTTTCTACTTAGCTGATCATGTCATCTGTAAACAGAGAGTTTGTTTTTTCCTTTCCCATCTCTATTCCTTTTACACTTCCTTTTCTTGTTTTACTTAATTAGGTAGGACTTTCAGTATAATGTTGAAAATAAATGATTAGAGGGGACATTTTTCCCTTGTTCCTGATATCAGCAGAAAAACGTCAGGGTTCTCATTGTAAAGTGTGATGTTAGCTGTAGGTTTGTTATAAATATTCCTGTTTCTAGTTTATCAGAGTTATTGTCATGAATGGGTATTGGATTTTGTCAATTGCTTTTTCTGCATCTATTGATTTTTTCATGTGATTTTTCTTCTTTATTCTGTTGATGTGATGGATACATTAATTGACTTTCAAGTGTTAAAGCAGCCTTGCATACCTAGTATAAATCCCACTTGGTTGTGGTGTATAATTCTCCTGACACAATGTTGGATATATATATGTATATTTTTTGGACAACATCTCGCTCTGTCACCCAGGCTGGAGTGCAGTGGGGTGATCTCAGCTCACTGCTACCTCTGTCTCCCGGGTTCAAGCGATTCTCCTGCCACAGCCTCACAAGTAGCTGGGATTACAGGCCCCTGCCACCATGCCCAGCTAACTTTTGTATTTTTAGTAGAGATGGAGTTTCACCGTGTTGGCCAGGCTGGTGTCGAACTCCTGACCCCAGGTGATCCACCCACCTCGGCTTCCCAAAGTGCTTGGACCACAGGAATGAGCTGCCACGCCTGGCCTACAATGTTGGATTTGATTTGCTAATATTTCAGTGAGGATTTTTTCATCTACATTCATCAGAGATACTGGTTTTTAGTTTTCTTTTCTTGTAATGTCTTTGTTTGGTTTTAATGTTAGGATGATGCTGACATCTTAAAATGAGTTAGGGAGTATTTCCTCTGCTTTTATTTTCTGAAAGAGATTATAGATATTTGGTGCAATTTCTTCCTTAAATATTTGGTAGAATTCGCCAGTGAACCCATCTGGGCCCAGTGTTTTTTATTTGGAAACTTACTAATTATTGATTGAATGTATTTACTGAAGATGGGCCTATTTGATTGTCTACTTCTTGTATGATTTTTGGCAGCTTGTGTCTTTGAAGGAATTGGTTCTTTTAATCTAGGTTATCAAATTTGTGGTTATAGATTGTTAATAGTATTGCTTTTTTATTCTTTTAATGTCCACGGAATCTGTAGTGACGCCCTCTCTTTCATTTTTGATTTTAATAGTTTTTGTCTTCTATCTTTTTATTTTACTTAGGCTGGCTAGAGGCTAGTTGATTTTATTGATCTTTTCAAAGAACCAGTTTTATTTTTGTTGATATTCTCTATTGGTTTCTTGTTTTCAATTTTATTATTTCTGCTGTAATATTTCTCCTTACTTTTGGTTTAATTTGCTTTTCTTTTCTAGTTTTCTATGGTGGAAGCTTAGATAACTGATTTTAGATCTTTCTTTTTTTCTAATATATATATTCAGTGCTGTAAATTTCCCTCTAAGCACTGCTTTTGCTATATCACACAAATTTTGATAAAGTGTGTTTTCATTTTCATTTAGTTCAAAATATTTTAAAATTTCTCTTGAGATTTCTTCTTCATTGTTTAGAAGTGTGTGGTTTTATATTCACATATTTTGGGATTTTCCAGTTATCTTTCTGT
This sequence comes from Homo sapiens, assembly GCF_000001405.40. NCBI lineage: Eukaryota > Metazoa > Chordata > Mammalia > Primates > Hominidae > Homo > Homo sapiens. The sequence goes on from NC_000003.12 coordinate 131,132,017, forward strand.
TATTAATTTCTAGTTTGATTCCATTTTGATGTGAGAGCAGAAATGGTATGATTTCTCTTCTTTCAAATTTGTTAATGTTTTATGGCCTAGAATGACTTTCAGTTTCTTTTTGAATAATTCGCAGGGATTTTTTTTCATTTTTATGTGAGCTCAACTGTGCATATATGAAGATATTTGTATACTTTATTCGGCATTTTAGTTTTTTTATGCAAAGATTTTCAAGTTTTCTAGTTCTTTATAATTCCATAAAATAAAGGTCTTAACTGACATAATTTACATTACTGACTTATAGTCAGATTTAATAAATGTTACCTATTCTTAAATATCATCAACAACGTTATTATTTTCACAAGTATATAAAACTTGGACATTTGGGTAATAATAGATTACAAACTGGTCTATCAATTGAGGATATGGTTACTGGATATAGTACTATGTAGATTATGCTACAAAAACATAATAAAATATAGCCTATTGAAATAGTTGAAAGCATATCACCGTTCTCCAAACTACATGTTCCCCAACCTTTAAAATCTTTATTTTAAAACTTTTGTTTCCTCAGGGAAACTGGAAAGTATTGTGGCTTTGTAGCTTTTAAACATTGAAAGATATATCTATGGGAGTATATATTTATGTGTAAATCATGTGCAACAACATATATTATTTACATGGGGATTTAAAAATGTTATATTCTGCATGAAGTTGTATATCTTTTTTGCCTTTTGTAGGAGGATACTTCATCGAGACTTAAAGTCAAAGAATGTATTTCTGAAAAATAATCTCCTTAAAATTGGTAAGATTTTAAAAAGTATGAATTCCAAAAACGCAGAACAGTATATTCTAGATATTATCATATCAAATTGAAGTAAATGGTACGTGGAAGTATTAGAGTAATCATTGGTTTGTTTAAATTTCTCAAATTTTTAAGTACATGTGCTGCTGAAATGAACACTAAATTTCTCAGGTTTCTAGATGGGCCCAACAAAACCTAATTGTTTTGTTTCTGAGTATCTGATATAAATTGAGGTGTACAAATTTACCACATATTTGATAGATTTTTCAAATATACTTTGAGTTCCCTGTTTCATGCCAGGCACTTTACAAGTTATTAGAATCATTTTACTGGTTTGATTAGTTACTACAGGTTTCTCATTTATATTATTTCATCACAAGCAATAAGTGGTTATAGATAATGAAAATGTTGATATAATGGCTTTATTAACCTTTAGTTCTTCAGAACTGTACCTCTCCTCATAACAGCTACTGGATCATCTAATCATCATATAGGGTGTACTTGGGGAAGGAAGGAAGGAAGGAATAAAAGTGTGCAACTAGTTAGGCAAGTATTAAAAAGCTGATAGATTCAAATTTTTATAGTCATGTTCTTAAATAGTCTCAGATCTTTTCTTTAAAACGCTCCATTATTGTAAATTTAAGAACAAATTCTTCTCCCCTCAGGTGAAATTGTATATCATCTTATTCAGTTTTTCCAAAATCATTCTGTTTGCCATTATTCAGACTTTAAATAGCTTTTTATATCAAATTGTCTAGTTTCCCATAATTCCAGAAATAAAGAATTTTAGCTTACATAATTCACTTTCCTGGCTCAAAGTCTTCCTTCTATAAAACTTATGTTTTTAAAACTATTTACCAGCGTTGTATAATTTAAGATATATTACTTTTCTTTCCTGTTAAAATGCTATGAACCATTGCATAATAAAATGGTCAAATTAGGCACTCATTCAGTTGTTAATTTCCAGGGCTAATTTTTCGTTGGCTTAAAGTATTCATAAAAATTAATTATTATTTCAAGGAGATTTTGGAGTTTCTCGACTTCTAATGGGATCCTGTGACCTGGCCACAACTTTAACTGGAACTCCCCATTATATGAGTCCTGAGGCTCTGAAACACCAAGGCTATGACACAAAGTCGGACATCTGGTGAGTGGGCTAGTGGGCTAGACTCTTCATCTGCTTCCCTAAAAGAATGGTACATTTTGTCTTTCAGCTCATTTACTTACTGCATACATTCACTTTATCCCTTTGACATGAATATTTCTGTGACCAGAGTAAAAGAAGGTCTTTTGCATTTAGAACTCAATATATTTCATTAAACTAGTTTCAAAAATTCTTTTTATTCAGTGATAATTGGTTGGTTTTGGATTTTTGGTTCCTGAATCACAAGGGAAAGTTCTTAATGTACCATAAGCATTAAATTTTAATACATTTCTGTTAACCTATTAAATAAAGTATTTGTAACCCTAAGTACTGTGCTTATTCTATTTTAAGGTTAACTTCAATCTCTGTGGGGAATGTACAGCTTTTCTATATTTTTTTCTTTTTGTTACTTTTAAGAATTTTACTAAAGATATTGGCTTTAAGGATAAACTATTTTTTTTTTTTGAAATGGAGTCTTGCTCTGTTGCCCAGGCTGGAGTGCAGTGGTGTGATCTCAGCTCACTGCAACCTCCACCTCTTGGGTTCAAGCGATTCTCCTGCCTCAGCCTCCCTAGTAGCTGGGACTACAGGCTCCCACCACCACGCCTGGCTAATTTTTTGTATTTTTAGTAGGGACGGGTTTCACTGTGTTAGCCGGAATGGTCTCAATCTCCTGACCTCATGATCTGCCTGCCTCAGCCTCCCAAAGTGCTGGGATTACAGGTGTGAGCCACCGCGCCCAGACTAGGATAAACTAAATTTTAAAATTTCTGGATTTTCAGTGACAGATGCATCTGAGATGTCTCAGTTTCTCTGAGCTCTTATATTAAAGGAATTTCTCCTTCCTTGTTATGGAACTAAGTGAAATCTCACTGCAGAAGCCATGTGGAAAATTGTATTCAGTATGTTCTAGTGTAAGCAATAGATCCTATTTCTTTTCCTTAGAAGAGGAATCTTATTATATACTTTTCTGCTTGTTGAGGGTTGAAAGAACAATCTAGCTGAGGGCTTGTTAATTAAGTAAATAATTACTGTATGCAAATCAACATAAATAGTTCTGAGCTTTCAAAGACAAGCAGTGTAAAAGATGTGCTTACTTCACTCTTCTAAAGAAGACAAAGTAGAAAATTACATTTTCTCTGGTTAGGGAAAAGTGAATCACAACAGGGGATATTGCTTAGGATTTTCACAAGGGTCATTATCTGTTCCTTGTTCTCGTGCCTACCAAATGGGAGAGAACATTGTCAAGATTAGGTCTGGGTATGGCAATTCCCCATGAATCCCGTCCTTTCAATTCAGTCTTGCAATTGTTCATTTCTAAATTATTCACGTGTTTTTTTCATCATTGGCTTACTTCTGCCCTGGAGGTCTTTTCCAATTCACCTATCATCTTCTGTCTTCTTTCCTTCTAACCCCCTTAACTACCACATCCAAAAGAAAAAGAAAACCCAAACCAAATAAAACCAAACATCACAAAGGTATGTATAGAGGAATAACTAATGAGTTCCTTTAAATTTTGCTTCATTGAACATCTACTATTTGCCCAAGACTGTGTAACATTCCTTAGGTATAAAGCAAAAGTGATAGGATTCCTACCTATCAAGAGAAATCTTGCTTCTTTTGGAGTCCCTTTCTCTAGTTTGAGAAATCAATTTTGGGCTTTGCTTCAGATCGAATTTCAATTATATACCTATATATCTCTTTACATTTAATTTTAAAAATTAATATTATGGACATTTTAAAATAGATTCAAATATATATCTTTATAGTTTAAGGTTATATGGTATCTCAAGAAGATGTTATGTTATGCCATCTGAATTAGGAGTAAATTAATTTACAAAGCCTATCATTTAAGTTTTTGGAATTATATGTAACAAACCTGGCTCCTTTTGACAGGCAGCTATATCTGCTTTCCAGATCAGATGAATATCTCCTAGAAAACAAAAGCAACAGAACCCACAGAGAGGAAAGGAAAGCATAGAGTATTTGTCTCAGTTATGTCAGTGTTATTTCTTTTTAAAAAATTGCTCCTACTATTACATGGAGTATTATGGGATATCAGATAGTATTGCTATACTTTAGGATTACAAAACTGTCTGACTCAAGAAAAAAAAAACAGCCAAAACCTCCAAAATATACAAAGCAGAAGGATTTTAATGTGTTTCTCTGAGCATTAGGTTAGCTCTCCTTGCAGAGATTAACTTTTCAGCAAGTACAAGCTTAGGATTCATCATCATCCTGACCCTAAATAACCACCTTATTATGGATTTAGTAATTACCTTGGTTGTATCAGAATCAAAGTGGGCTTATCTGGTAATGAAATTTCTATTGCCAAACCTAAAATGGAAATAATAAGAGAGAACTATTAATTATAGTGTCAGATACATACGTGTGATGAGTAATCTTTAGTAGACACTCTGAGAAAAATTAGATTGAATGAGGTTGAGAACCTGTCTCTGAATCTCAGTGTGTAGCATCTGTTTATTGTGGAATTTTTTTTTAGGATTAGAAACACTTATGAATAATTGACAGGTGTTTTGTTTTAGCACTAATAGCTGTACATATTATATTTATAATGCTTAAAGGAGAATTTGCTTAAAGGAGAATTGGCCTAATACTAGTTATGTTTTCATCTGTAATGTTTGCCCATATGTAACATTATCTTCATTCTGCAATCTGTTAAACTTTTCTGGCTTCATTTATTTATAGCATTCAGTACAGGAAGTCCTTCTCCTAAAAGTGGGTTAGGTTCCAAAAGTTTATAAAGTTATTTGCAAAGTTAGGATAATTAGGTTTACTGAGAACAATGCTTTGATCACAGCTGATTTGTATAAGCAATTGTTGAATACTCTTATACCCACAGGAGAAATACAAATATGAGTTGGGTTCCTAGGCCAGCTCATTAAATTGATTTAAACTATGAATATTTAGAGTATGTTATTTTGGTAGGAGAAACAAATAAAGGACAATATTATTTGAATAATGGTACTGCAATTAGACAGAAAGAAAACAATATTTCACTGTTGGTCTTATTTACTTTGTTGTGAGAACCCAACCAGATGGCTCTTTGATCTTGTAGCCCCCATATTCTTTGGGTGATATAAGTAAAGGGAACAGTGGTGGGAATAGTGGCAACATCTAGAGTGTACTGTGAAGCTCTCAGGGTCTTTCTCAGAAATTTGGTGTGGAGGTTGGTTGGGTGGGGGACAGAGAAGGAATCTAGTTCATGCCCAACATTGGACTCAGGCTTTCATGATCTTGGGGCAGAAGTGTCATGCAAGGATTAGCTGTGAGTAGAAGAAAACAGAGAAGAACCAGCACCTGCCTGACCTGCCAGGACCAAGAAAGTATCCTCATGGAAGAACATTTCCAGGGTGGACAGGGAAGGGATGGGGACAACAGCCTATTTTTTTGAGAAATACAGTCCAACTTGCCAGCATTTCCTGTAACTAAAATGAGGCCATCTAGTAGCTGGCAGCCAGCAGCTTCATCAGCTCCCTCCTGGTGAAGAAAGCTCTGGAGCAAAAGAATTAATTTTTTTCACTTGCCCATGGCCTGGGAAGTTCTTATGTGGGTTCAGAAGAAAGCTATTGACCAGGGAGTGCTTTCCTAGGGAATAAGCACTGGTGTCAGTATTTTCATCCAATGGAAGCTTAGGTGAGAAAACATTTCAGTCAGGTGAAGTATATTTGAACATTAATATATTTTTTTCAATGACTAGCATGAAATGGTTGATACAAACTCTGCAGATAGTACTAATTTGGCCTGATGAATTTTAAAAGGGTTAATAACATAGCTAATAAATCCTTGTTAAATTGATATTGATGGAGGAGGGGCAGTGCAAGATGGCTGAATAAGGGCCCCACTGATCATGCCCCTCCCCAGGAACACCAGGTTTTAAAAAAATTTAAATTTTTAATTCTTGTGGGTACACAGTAGATGTATATATTTATGGGGTACATGAAATATTTTGATATAGGCATGCAATTCATAATAATCACATCATGGAAAATGTGGTATCCTTCTCCTCCAGCATTTATCCTTTGAGGAAGACCAAGTTTTACAACTGTCTACACAAAGGAACCACCTTCATAAGAACCAAAAACCAGGTACCAGCTCAGCCACAGTGGTGTAGAGGACCAAGTGAGATCTTGGAGTCCCTGATTTCATGTCTTAGCTCTTGGATAGCATTGCTGGACCTTCCCTGGGCCAGAGGGGAACCCACTGCCCTGAGGGGTGAGTTCCAGGCCTGGTGGTATTCACCACAAGCTGAAGGAAGAGTCCTTAGGCCTTAATTGAGCATCAGTGGTAGCCTGGGAATGTTCCCTGTAGGCCTGTAGTGGTGGTGGCCATGGGGTGAAGCTCCTCTGCACATAGGAAGGGGAGGAAAGAGTGGGAAGGACTGTGTCATGTGACTTGAGTGCCAGCACAGCCACAGTAGAATATAACACCATGCAGATTTCTAAGGTTTTTAACTCTAGTCCCTGGCTCTGGGAGAGCATCTCTGGACCTGCCCAGGACCTAGGAAACTCACACCTCTCAAGGGAAGGACACAAACCTGGCTGGCTTCATCATCTGCTGCTTGTAGAGCTCCAGGGCCTTGAGTGAACATAGGTAATAGGAAGTAGTTATGGGGGCCTTGGACGAGACCTGGTGCCACTACAGTCCCAGTAGTGGTGACCAAAGGAGTGCTTGTGTCACCCCACCCCCAGTTCCAGGCAACTTAATACAGAGACCCCATTTGTTTGGGAGAAAGTAAGGGAAGAGAACAAGAGTCTTTGCCTTGTAATCCAAAGAATTATTCTGCATGTTATCTAAGACCACCAAGGTGGTACCTCTACAAGTCTGTAAGAACTACAGTGTTACTGGGCTTGGGGTGGCCCCAATGCAGATGTAGCTTAGATCACAACACCCAAGTATTTTCAAATACCTGGAAAGCCTTCCCAAGGAGGATGGGTACAAACAAGCCCAGATGGTGAATACTACAATAAATACCTAACTCTTCAATGCCCAGGCACTGATGAACATTCACAAGTGTCAAGACCAACCAGGAAAACATGACTTTACCTAACAAACTAAATAAGGCACTAGGGACCAATCCTGGAGAAACAGAGAAATGCAACCTTTCAGACAGAGAATTCATAATAGCTGTTTTGAAGAAACTCAACAAAATTCAAGATAACACAGAGAAGGAATTCAGATTTATATCAGATAAATTTAACAAAGAGAGTGAAATAATTAAAAAGAATCAAGCAGAAGTTCTGGACTTGAGAAATCCAATTGACTGGAGAATGCATCAGAGTCTCTTAATAGCAGAATTGATCAAGTAGAAGAAAGAATTAGTAAGCTCGAAGACAGGATATTGGAAAATACACAGTCAGAGGAGATAAGAGAAAAAAGAAAAAAAAAAAAAAAAGAATGGAGCACACCTCCAAGATCTGGAAAGTAGCCTCAAAAGGCAAGTCTAAGAGTTATTGGCCTTAAAGAGGAAGTGGAGAAACAAATAGGAGTAAGAAGTTTATTAAAAGGAATAGTAACAGAGAACTTCCTGAATCTAGAAAAAGATATTAATATATAAGTATAAGAAGGTTATAGAAGACCAAACAGATTTAACTCATTAATAAATGATGTGGCAAATTCATATACTCCTGTTTTGTTAATTCTGTGGGAGAGCAGGAGAAGGGAGGGTTAGTTCAGGATTTTCTTTCATTCCTCTTACTAAAGAAAAATTTAGTTGTGTTAACAAGTTCTTATTTCAAACACGCAAATTTATTTGGCAAGTATTAAATCTTATCACCACACTTCATTGTTTACATTGCTTTTTAAATTTGTTTTAAGTCTTGGAATCCCTAGTTGAGACTAGTCTTTCTATAGGAAGTCAAATTGGGATTGAATCTTTCAAATTCCAGGATTGGGCACTTTGTAGCGAGGAGCATCAGGGGCGAGGAAAGAGTGTGGCCATGAGAGCCTGGGCAGGGCCTGGGTTTCTGATGAAGGAGACCCCTTTGGATAGGAGCATAAGGTAAAATGTCCCATGATCCATAGGGGCATGTGGCAGATTGTATTTTCCAAAAATGGCCATCATAACATATCACTTCTCACATGTTCTTTTCTCACATGTTCTTTTTATAATGTGATGTTGACACACTCTTACTGAGAGGTGGGGTCTGTGTTCCCTCACCTTTAATTTGGGTAAGCCTGTGATTATGGCAAAATTGATGCTATGTGACTTCTGAATCTAGGTAATAAAAGCAATATAGATTTTGCTTGGTTCTCTTGAAATTCTTGTTCTTGGAACCCAACTACCCTGTTGTGAGGAAGCCTGAGTGGCACATTGAGAGACCAACATGGAGAGGGCCACATTGAGAGGAACCAAGGCCTTTGGTCTTTACTCCCATTGAGCTTCCAGCTGATAGCCAGCATCAGTTGGCCAGTGATGTGCGTGAGCCATTTTGGAAGTGGATCCTTAAGCCTCAGTTGAGCATCACCAGCAGATGCTGTGGGGAGCAGGTTCAAGGCTTCCCTGTCAATCTCTGACCAAAAAGATTCATGATCAAAATGACTGATTATTGTTGTTTTAAGGTACTAAGGTTTGGGGTGGTTTTTTATGCAGCAGTGGTGACTGGAGCAGGACTTCATCAGGAGAACGGCAAGCAGGAGTTGAGAAGTAGCCTCTAATCTAGGCCTCCGTATGACAATCTGGCAGTGTTTGTTTTCTTTATGTCAAAAGGCTCAATAAATTGCTTAAGAGAAGTGGCTTGTGCCAGAAAAGCAATCTGGCACTCTACTTGCTGGTCTGTTTGATGGGTAGAACCCAAGAACCTGGACCACAGCTGAGAACTTCCAGACCAGCAACTTTTCCATGTGCCTCAGAACTCTTCTTTCATTCCTCCTGACTTTGCCTTCTTTCTCCCAACCCCCACCTCAACGTCACCCCTAGCACTGGACCATCTGACTCCAGCCTTATCTTTCTATCATTCCCATGATTCAGTGGTATGCTGGAGCTCATACCAGCTCATAAGACCCAATTATCCACATTTCTTCTCAAGTCAATGTTCACTGATGTCACATTAGTAACTTGAAAACAACCATGGTATTTATACCATGGAAATTTGTAAATTAGGGCTTCTCCTCCTACCTCAGAAAGGCAGTGTACCAGAATAGCTCATACCTTTAGCCTTACTCCTTCTTGCCCCTAGGGTGGTATTTGCAGAAGGGAAGAGACGTGAAGACATGAAGGTTTCTGTCCTCAAAGGAATGATAAACATATAAACAAACTGCTGTATACTGTTATAGTGCAATACATATTCTGATGTATAAAGCAGAGAGTGATTGACAGCTGGGGATAGGGGTAGAGAGCATCAGCTACAGTCTTAGAGAGTGCATGATTCCTGCTCAGGATGGGGAAAAATGGAGAAGAGTTTGGCAAATGTATTTCAGGTAAAAAGACCCAATGTCAATGACCAAAAGTGAGGGGTGCCCACTGGGAGAAGAGGGAGGGAACTGTGCAGGGAAAGAAAGTGGCTGGCCAGAAGAACCATTTGGCCAGGGCCTTCTCATTCATGAAGGGCCTCAAATGTATGTGTTTAAAATTATTTCCAAATGAGGTGGTATATGTTAAAGGTGTTTATTTAATGCCAAAATTTCAGATATATCACCAATTTTGAAACTTTTATTGGGGTATTTATTTGTTCATTTAAAATATATACTGGGAATTTAAAAATAGTTACAAATGACTTGGACCTTCTCTGACTACTGAAAGACTCTGAGAAATGGTATGAAAGGACATGGAAGCATGAGAAAGCTCAGGTTCTTCTGATTAGCTGTAGGACAAAGTGTGTATGTGGCAAGGAGGGGAGTGTTGGTACATTTGACTGAAGGGCGGGCAGGGGTCAGATGGTGAATGACCCATGTAATTATGAAAAGAAGCTTGTACTTTCATCTTCTGGAGTATGAGAATCTGCTAAAGGCTGTTAAGCAGAGGAATGATGTATCAGTCAGCTTTGCTGCGGTAACAAAGAACTCCAAAAAATCTCAGGTACTTCATATATTGATTCTTTGCCTTACCTGAGGACTACAGATTAACTGAGTTTCTGCTCCAGTTGCAGTCCTGCTCTGATCCATAGTTTTCCCAGTTCCAGGACACAGGTTATGCTCTGAAAAACATGGACAATACAGTGCTAGAGAGAAAGAGCATGTGTCTGCCTTTAGATCCTCCACTCAGTTAGTTGTGACACACTTCATATCCACCCATATTCCACTGGCTGAAGCAAGTCCTATGCCAATTCCCCCTGTGGGGGAAGGGAAAAAGAATATTCGCAAAGAGCAATCAATCTACCAGGGGAGTCAGTCTTATTATGATGCCAGCTGGGCTATAGAAAACTGACAGTAGGGAGAAGATTGGTGGAGACTAAAGGAGGGAGATAGGTAGGTCTTCTATTAACCTGGCACATTCTACTACTTTTGATGTTCTGTCCATCATAAAAGAGCCTCTGGAGATCATATAAAATTATTAAAGCAGTTGGAACACAGCCATTCAGTCAAAATGTGAAGCAGTTCATGCCCCATAAGCAGTGTCGGCTGTTGCCATATTCGGTCTTAATAGAGTGGCTGAGTAAATAACAGTTGGTTATGTAAGGATGCTTTGATCATTGTTTCCATTGCCAACCTACCTCCCTACCCCAACTCCAAACATCCTTTCCTAAGCTGTATGGTTTGCATAAAATCTATAACTGTGACCTTAAGAATAGCTAAAGATGCAAAGAAGCTTTGACTTTTAGCCAGTTTTTCTCTTCTGCCACCCTGTGGTCTCCTTGTTCTCCTCACTCACTGGTTTTGATCTTTTTCCTCCATTAGCCACATTCTTATGGTATGGAGGACATGGGACCACTACAGAGGAGAGAGCTTTGATAATCTTCCTTGAAACATTGTAAAGCTCAGTTGTGGAGGAAAGTAATTAGAAAGAGCTGGTATGAACAGGAGAAAATTCACCCAAACCTTGTTTTGTCAATAATTTTATGGGTCGTATTCCCTAAAATGTGACAGTATATTAGAATATGATAAGAGAAATGAGTTCACTTTTCTTTTTAAATATTCTTTAAAAAATTCAGCTCATCAGTCACACTAGCCACATTTTCAGTGCTCAAAAGCCAAATGTGGCTGGTGGCTATTGTTTGTAGAAATAAGAACATTTCTATGAGTTCAATAAATTCTTTTGGACAGCCCTGAACTATTTTGCTCCAGCTGCTTTAAGCCTTATCTTGGGATTTCTTGCATTCACCCTGCTTTTGGATTGGGCAGAACCCCTGCTGGGTTTAATTGCTATGCTTAGATTGGTCCACTTTAGATAGTTTGAGGTTCTTCTGTTCTCATGTCCCTTGATCACTCCATTGCTTCCCTCTGCTTCTTCTCACACAGATGCTGATACTATGCCAGTCAAGTAGCTGTGTGGTTTGTGTTCCTTCACTTGCACAGCAAGGTTCAAGGGGACACCTTATAACTTGGCTTTATAATAAATTATTATTAAATTATAATAAATATTATTCATGAGTTTTGAGTTTTGTTCTGTAGCTGCTCTGTTTTCATATGTGGATTCAAGAAAGATCTAAAAACTATGCTTCCACTGTATCTACTGTTTCCCCCCAAATGCTCGGAATCAGCATTTTAACAAAACCCCTAAGTGATTTACATATATGTTAAAGTTTGGGAAACACTGATAGAGGTTTTGAGATAAGGTAGGTCATTCATAAAAAATTGCTATATAATATTGTTCCTTAAGTACTATTACTTCAAGCAGCCCAATGTTTTTCATTATATTTATTTTCATTTCATTATATTTAGACTGAATTTAGGTTAATACTCAATTCTACCTAAGTAAAGACTTTCATTTAGGGTGATACACACTAAAGCAAAACCCACTACTCTTTTATTACATTTCCATTACTGTTTCCATAGATTGAACTGATTCCTCTTTTCTAGATGAATATATCAGGATGCTCTTCAATTACATCAAAATAAAACATTATCTAGAAGATCAACAAAACTTCCTAACCAACTAGAGTCATGCATTGCTCTGGGGCAGGCATCTGTTTGCAGAGTCTGGCAGATTTTGAAGGGTAAATTTAGTTACCTTAAGACAAGCAAAGTCTGAGTTACATTTGTGATTTATTATCAATCAACCTGTGCTTCAGAAATTTTCTCAGTAGTTCCGGACAAGTTGTTCAATTTGGACAGATGGCAAGTTTATGGAGTTCAGGTGTAATTTGCTTCACAGACACCTGATCCCAGCCTTCTTTTTCATTGCTTGTATTCATACTCCCTCAGGGATTTATTTGCTTATCTCTTCACAGTTGTCTGTATTTTGGAAAAAGAAAGAAATGCAAATTGTAGACTTCTAAGTAAAATACACATCTCACTTGTTTATTTCAGCTCTCCCCCACCCCCAATCTGCTTTTGTATCAGCAGATTTAAGACCTGGGAGTCAAATAAGGGAAAATTATTTTAAAAGGATGGAAGTGAAGAGTTTTAGATGATTCCTATATGGAAATGTCTGGTTGGAAACTAGAAAAAAGAAACACTGGTACATAGAAATATAGTCACCATATGTATTTTGGTTACCTACCGTATGTATTTAACAAAACCTCTAAGTGATTTGCATGTATGTTAAAGTTTGGGAAACACTGACAGTGGTTCTGAGATATGGTAGGTAACCAAACATCTTTTACCTTTGAATATCTAGGTAGTTTCTGTAATCAGATTGTCCAAGTTTCAGTTACTGGCGCCCATTCCAGGTAGGTGCACTGGGACCACTATAGCAGGTCCGTTTCCACAAGTTACTGGCTGATAAATGAAGTCTTCTCTACGTGCTAGAGTGCAAGCAAATACTAGTCATCAAAGTGAAACAGGTAATTGCACTGCATACTACAGTGTAGCTGAGAGGATTTCCAAAACAGAGAGTACTGTAGTCTTATATGAGAATTAATTGATTACTAAGTTAGGCTATGAATCTAATTGTTCCATAGTTTCTTTAGCCAGATAATTGCATATCTTTTTTATTTTTATTTATTTTTAGAGATGGTCTCACTCTGTTGCCTAGGCTGGAGTGCAGTTGTACAATCATAGCTCACTGTAACCTCAAACTCCTGAGCTCAAGTGATCCTCCCACTCCAGCCTCTGGAGTAGCTAGGAATACAGGTGTGGGCCACCATGCCCAGTTAATATATTTTTATTTTTTGTAGAGATGCAGTCTTGCTATGTTGCCCAGGCTGGTCTTAAACTCCTGGCCTCAACCATTGTCCCACCATAGCCTCCCAAGTCACTGAGATTACAGGTGTGAGCCACTGTGCCTGGCCTACCACATCTTTTTATAACCTTAATAAATTCATCAAAGTAGAGTTATATCTCCATCAAACCAGAAAGGTGATCAATTCACTGTTAATAGACCACTAAGCCCTCTTTCCTTCCAAGCAATGAAAAGACAAAAGCCAAACTTGTCTGCCTTCCTTTTTCCATAGAAGGTCTCATAGTCTGTGTGCCCTATATTTGCCGTGGTGTGACGCCCTGCATAGCTTGTTGTCTAAGGCCCCAGTGATTTTTAAAAGTGAATTAAGGTTCTATATAGAACCTGAAATTACCTTGGGAAATCAGCCCCTGCTTAAAAGGCTCTGTCAGGGCTAGCCCTGATTTCCAACTCAAGAGAGACTTTCGTGATCCAAAAGGCTCTGATTGGTGCAAGATCCAGAGGCAGGATAGCATAGAGAGTCTGTGTCTCTAGAGCCAGATAGCCTGGGCTACAATCCCAGCTTTATGACCTACTCAGTATGGAACCTTGAACAATTTACCTAATCTTATGGTTTTCTCATCTGAAAAATGGGAATAATAATAGTTCCTACCTCATTAGGATTGTTGTGAGTGTAAGTTAATGAGTTAAAATATGAAAGGAACATAGAAGAGGGCCTGGCTCATAGTAAACACTATTAACATTCCAGCTATCATTTTCATTATTATTATTATAATTATCATTATTGTTGTTACCATTTGTGTTATTGATGGAGACAATCTAATAGCTGCTTCCAAGACACTTTAAAATGTTCTGGATCAGGGGTTGTTGCTCCCAAGGGTTGTTGTTACAGCCCTTCCGATATGCCCAGGCCAGGAGAGGTTGTCTAGCTTGTTCTGTTTCTAATCTTGTCCTCAAGGAGACCCTAAGCCTATGTGGGGTGAGCATAAATCATCAGAACAGAGTGTGTAGGTGCTGAGTGATTGCTAGCCTTCTGTTACTTGGACTTGCAAATTTGATTTCTTTTTTTCAGTTTTCAGATTATTATGTGTGTGTTAGGCTACATAACAGAATGTGATCAATGTAACTTTTTAAAAGAGAAATTTTAAAAAGTATTGGATGAGAACTAATACCAATACCAACATGAGCTGATCTGACATGGTACCTTTCTGGGCAAATTACTTCCTCTCTCTGAGCTTTGGTTTTCTCACTGATAAAACCAGAGTTTGAAATGAGCAAATCTTTATAGTCTCTTGTAACTCTACTATTCTGTGTAAGAAGACATTCTTGAAGTTTGAATTATAGATTCTTCTGTGGGGAAATAACCAAGTATATTGTGGCAATTCATAACATAAACATTCTACATTAGTAAAAGTATTTGGTTCAACTTGATGATTATATATTTTTAGTGATATTTAGCCCCTCTTGTTTTCCTAAGGAAACTTTTTTTTTCATAGTATAACAAGTACTGACTTGGTATTGTCTGTCTTTTTCTTTTTAGCCATTCTGATGAGTGTGTAGCATGTAGTGGTAGTACACAGTGGTTGTAATTCGCACTTTTCTGATGACTAAAAATGTTGAGCGTCTTCTCATGACTTTTGGCCATTTAGCGTCCGTTCAAGTCTTTTGCCCATTTTTCTATTGGATTCTCTCATTTTTCTTATTGCTTTATAGAAGTTTTAATTAATTTTATCCATATTTTGGTAGTCTGATGAATATTTGAATTGCAAATATCTTACACTATGTGTCTTCCTTTTCACTCTCCTAATGGTGTCTTTTTATGAGTAGAAGTTTGTAATTTTAATGAAGTTCATTTTATAAGTTCATAACTTTATCATTAGTGCCTTTTATGTCTTAAGAAATCTTTGCCTACTCCAAGATCATGAAGATATTCTCTTGTTTTCTTTTAAAACTCAGTTTTCTTCTCCTGTTTTCTTTTAAAGCTGACTCAATTTCATTCTGTCTTTCACAGTAACATCTATCTATAATTGATCTGTGTGTGTATGTGACTATATGGTATGAGACAGGAATCCAAGTACGTTTTTTTCTATATGAATATTCAATTGGCCCAGCATAATTTGTTGAAAAAGCCATATTTTCCTCTACCATGCAGTGGTTTATTTTTGCATTAATCAAGTGATTAAATATGTGTGAATCTGTTTTTGAGCCCTCTATTTGATTGCATTGGTGTATATTTTTTCTTCTTTGCCAATACCACACTTTCATAGGTAATATAACTTTATAATATAAGCTATATAACTTTATAATAAATCTTGATATTTGGTCATACAAAACTTCCAAATTAGTTCTTGTTTAATTGCCGTGGCTATTCAGGTTCCTTTGTATTTCCATATAAATTTTAGAATCTGCTTTTCAGTTCCTGCCAAAATGTCTGCTAGGATTTTGGTTGGTATTTCATGGGCCTCTTTAAGTGTGTTTTTGTGCAAGTTTATAGAAATAAAGGGCTTTGTATTCAGCAGTCTTGCGTAATTCCCTCGTTAATTCTAACAGTTTGTCAGGTCTTTGGATTTTTTTCTGTACACAATCATGTTGACATGATTAATGACAGTCTAATGTTTTCTTTACTAATCTTTATAGATTTTTTTAAAAATTTACTTTTTCTGGCATTATTGCTTTGGGAAGCACCTTCATTACAATGTTGAATAGAAGTGATGATAGTAGGCATTCTTATTTTGTTCCTAATCTCAGAAGAAAATAATAAACTTTCAATATTTCACCAATAAGCATAATGTTTACTATATATTTTTAAGCTTCAAAAAATCAGATTAAGGAAGTTCCCTCCTATATCTGGTGTGCTAGGAGTTTTCTTCTTTTTAAAAATATAATAAATTTTGAATTTTATAGAATGCTTTTTTTGCATCAGTTGAGATGGTGATACAATTTTTCAACTTTTTTCTATAATGAGATATATTTTGATTGATTTATTTTCATATATTAAGTCAACTCTGTATTTCTGAAATAAAATCTACATGGTCATGATGTATTATCTTTTTAATATGTCGTATTCTATTTGCTAATATGTGTGTGTAAATTTGGGTTATTTGAATCAACGTTCATGAAAACATTTGCTCGTAATTTTCCTTTCCCATAATATCCTTGTTATATTTTAGTATCAAACTTGTCCTGGTCTTACGAAATGAAGAGGTTGAGTAAGATTATTGTTATTTATTTCTTAAATATTTGGAAGAATTTATCAGTAAAGCCATCTGGTCCTGGAGTTTTTCTTTGCAAGAGCTTTTTATTATTTTATTTTTCTGTATTCAACAAATATCTATATTGAGAAGATAAAGGTAGCCACTGTTCTGTTGTTGTGCTGAAAATACATTGGTAGGCAAAAACAAAGCCAAACAAATACAGGGTCCTTATAAGGATTGCTTTATAATATTTACTTTTGAGATAGAGGGTCAGGGGATACTTCTGTTGTCTATCTCAGTTATTATTATTTTTAACTTTTATTTTAGGTTCAGGGGTACATGTGCAGGTTTGTTACAGATATATATATATATATATAATATGTCACAAGGGCTTGGTGTACAGATTATGTCATTACCTAGGTGTTAAGCATAGTACAAAATAGGTAGTTTTTTTTCATTAAAAATAAATTTTATGCATACATAATAGTCGTACATATTTATGGGGCACATGTGATATATTGATACAAGCTTACAATGCATAATGATCAAATCTAGGTTATTGAGATATTCATTGCCTCAAACATTTATCATTTCTTTGTGTTGGGAACATTCCAAGTCTTCTAACTATTTTGAAATATATAATAAATTATTGTTAACTATATTTTTTGTGTTTAAACCTTTATTTATTTGTTTGCTTATAGTTTGTTACAGCAACCGCCTTCTTTATTTTTATTTTTGAGTTCCTCAACCTCCTCCTCTCCCTCTACCCTCAAGTAGGCCCCAGTGTTTGTTGTTCCCTTCTTTGCATTCATGTGTAGTCAATGTTTAGCTCCCACTTATAAGTGAGAAAATGCAGTATTTGGTTTTCTGTTCCTCTGTTAGTTTGCCTCCAGGTTGATCCATGTTGCTGCAAAGGACATGATCTCATTCTTTTTTATGGCTGCATAATATTCCACAGTTTATTTTCTTTATCCAGTCTACCGTTGATGGGCGTTGAGGTTGATTCCATGTCTTTGCTATTGTGAATAGTGCTACAATGAACATATGCATGCATGTGTCTTTATGGTAGAACGATTTGTATTCCTTTGGGTATATATACCCAGTAATGGGATTGCTGGGTCAAATGGTCATTCTGCTTTGAGTTTTATTATCTTAAATAAGAAATTATCTCTGTTTAATAGATAAAAACTATTCAGATTATCTTTTTCTTCTTGTGTCGTAAGTTGTGTTCTTAAAAGACTGTTAACTTCATATTATCAAATTTATTGGAAAAAACATGTTTATAATGTCATCTTAATACTTTCTAATATCTGTGGAATCTACAGTGTTGCACTTTTTTCTATTTGTTATCGTTAATCTGTGTTTTTTTCTGATTTTCTTGATCAGCCTTGCTAGAAATCTATTAAATGTATTAGTCTTCACTGATTTTGTTTCTATTGTTTATTTCTATTTCATTAATTTCTTCTCTTTTAAAATTTATTTCCTTAAACTTTCTTTGGTGTGATTTGCTGTTTTTTTAACTTCTCAAATTGACTTATACGGTAGATATTAAGTTTTTTTGTAATATATGCATTTAATACTTTTAATTTTACTGTAAGCACCTTAACTGCATTCAATGTGTTGATATTTGGTATCTTTATTAGCATTCCATTAAAAGTGTTTTCTAATTTCTTGTTTGACCTAAGGATTATTTAGATGTGTATTTCTTAGTTTTCAAGCAGTTGGCAATTTTATAGTTTTTCAATTATCTCTTTTTCTCTGTCACTCTGTTATTCATGTCTAGCACAATTTTACTGTGGTCTGACTTTGAAGATTTCAGTCCTTAAAATCTGTTGAGGCTTGCTTTATGGCCCTGTATATTGTCAATTTTGGTAAATGTTCCATGTGCCCTTGAAAAAAAATTGAATTCTGTTATTGTTGGTTGCATTTACATCAACTTGCCAATTATGTCCATTTTGTCATCGTGTAGATTTTTTCTATCTTTATTGATTTTTTTAATTCTGTCAGTTCTTGCTTCATACACACACACATGCACATGATGCACATGCACACACGCACACATTATTGGGTGTATATGGATTTAGAATTGTTTTATATTCCTGGTGGTTTGTTTTATTAATCCACCATCTTAATCTTAGTAGTGTTTCTTGCCATTTTGGTGTTTGTATGGTTTTTCTATCAACCTCTCTGTATTCCTATATTTAAAGTTTGTTTTGTGAGCAGAATATACCTTTTTTCCAGTCTGATAATTTAGTTTTTTAATTGGAGTCTTTTCCCTCTTGTGTCATTTGCCTTATTTTTGTCATGAATTTTTATTCTACATAATTTTTAAACACCACAAGATATTGTTAATTTTATTTTGTAGAGTTAATATTCATTTATGCTTATTTTTTGGTGCTCTTTATTTCTTCTTGTACTCATTGTTTTTGTCTGGATCATTTTTCTTCTGTTAGAAAAATTTATGTCTAGGATTTAAGAAATGCTTTCCTGCTGGTAATGAAATCTCTGTTTTTGCTTGGCTAAAAACATCTTTATTTCCTCTTAATTTGAAGGACTGTTTTTTCTGGGTATAGAAATCTAACCAGATGCCATTTAATAGTCTTGCAGATAGATGCAAAATTTATTGATTTTCAAATAATTTTCATCATTTTTAATATTTACATTGATATTGGTATTCTAGTTGATTTCATGCACTTTCTTCTAACATCTCCCTCTTCTTTCTAGCATTCTTTAATGGAAACAGTCTAGGATTTGGAAAGATAAATGCCTTAATTCAAGAGTCAGTTCTACCATTTACTACCTATGTGACCTTGGCCAAGTCATTTAACTTTTCTGAGCCAATTTTCAATCTATAAAAATGGGAAAAATATTACACGGGCTCTATTTCACTGGGAAGTTATAAGGGATTGTTGAGATATTGTCAGTGCTTTGTAAAATGTAAAGTACCAGTCAGCTCAGTTGGAAATATTTAGTGTTATTATTTACTGGAACAGAAATATTCTCAGTGTACATATCCAAAATTCTCTTACAAATGCACAGTTTCATGAGTACCCACAAAATAGTTCAATGGTATTATTCATGTATTTATTTCTGTCTATCCTTTGTTGTATTAAGGACATTGTTAAAAGTTACATAAAATGTAACTTACACAAGGTCAATCACAAGTTTATTTCTTATCTTTCAAGTGACTAACATGAAAAGGAAAACCTGGACAGTTACATAATTCATAATGTCCATAAGATAAAAATAATTCATTATTCAGGAGAAGTGCCATTATTTCTTAATACTAAGCTCAGACAGGAATTTCCCTTTCAGTTTTTTTTTTAATGATGTAGAGTTATTTAAAATATTTTCCGGCTGGTTTAGAGGTTATTGATTTGCATGGTTAATCCAAATCAGTGTTGGACTTATCTAGAATTTTAATATTCTGTTTCATACTCACCATGGGAGAATTATACATTTTAATGTGGGCTTCAAGTAGCTGCTCTTCCACTCCACTTGCAAATGGATTATATTCAGAGAATAATAAATAATGCCAGTTTCCTTTTCAAAATGCTTGGATACACATTAGAGGGAAGGTTAGGCTGCTAAATTAAAATTATATTTTGCATATATAAAATTATCAAACTGCCTTAGGAAGATAATATTCAGCTGCATTTTATGTATTAAAAGCTAATTCAAAAAATCCTTACATTAATCAAATACTTAGAATTCTTACTATGTGCAGGCATACTGTTAA
The DNA here is from genome assembly GCF_000001405.40 of Homo sapiens. Lineage (NCBI taxonomy): Eukaryota > Metazoa > Chordata > Mammalia > Primates > Hominidae > Homo > Homo sapiens. Next base: position 131,152,126 of record NC_000003.12, read on the forward strand.
CTCTTGATCTGCTTATTCTTTGATAAAAAAGCTGTCATTCAGACTTACTTTTGTGCTTTATTCTTTCACTTTTTTGGTTTTTTTTTTGGTAAACATGTATTTAAATGGAAAAAAACTGTATGAAACTGCAGTTTTAAGTCAACTACTGATTGTATGTTTGTGCCTCACAGCCAATGCCCCAACACATCTGAGGTTTTGTATGATGAAAAAATTTAAAATAGGATATTTGTTCCTTATTTAAATTCTTTGACTTTGTCTTCAGGTCACTGGCATGCATTTTGTATGAGATGTGCTGCATGAATCATGCATTCGCTGGCTCCAATTTCTTATCCATTGTTTTAAAAATTGTTGAAGGTGACACACCTTCTCTCCCTGAGAGATATCCAAAAGAACTAAATGCCATCATGGAAAGGTATAGAAATAAACATGTTGTCACAGAAATAATTTAAAGTTGTACTTATATTTTAGTTTACCTGAAAAATAATTTTCTGTTTAAACATTACAGCATGTTGAACAAGAATCCTTCATTAAGACCATCTGCTATCGAAATTTTAAAAATCCCTTACCTTGATGAGCAGCTACAGGTATTTAAAATGAAAGGGATTCTGGGAAACAGGTATGAGCATTTGTATACACATTCCATGACTTGAAGATATGCAGTGGGGATATGATTCAGTAAGAATCAACCAGAAAGGAGGAAAAAGGCCAAAAAGAAGCTGAGAGGCCGAGGCGGATGGATCACGAGGTCAAGAGATCGAGACCATCCTGGCCAACATAGTGAAACCCCGTCTCTACTAAAAGTACAAAAAAAATTAGCTGGGCGTGGTGGTGCGTGTCTTTAGTCCCAGCTACTCAGGAGGCTGAGGCAGGAGGATCACTCGAACCCAGGAGGTGGAGGTTGCAGTGAGCCGAGATTGCGCCGCTGCACTCCAGCCTGGCAACAGAGTGAGACTCTGTCTCAAAAATAAATAAATAAAAATTTTTTAAAGCTGAGAAAAATAGTAGTCAGGACAATCTCTTTCCAAAATAAGGTGTGTGTGAACTCCCATTCCCCAGTGCCACTGAAAATAAGAAGTTAGGTTTCTGATTTTATGCCAAAACTCAACATCCACCCTTGGAGCTCTGTTGACAGATCTTACCTGAACACTTTGTAACTATATCCCTGCAAGGACAAGAATATGCTAACAGAGGATGCTAAAATCTAGGGTTATCATTGACCATTTATAATTCCAATCCTTTATTACATATCTCAATAATACTTTTTAATGATTAGCTAGGTTTATTTTGTTTTCTTGTAAATTAGGAAATTTGACATAGAGGCTGTGTCTCAGGTATTAAGAAAGCAGAAAATGGTCCCCTCTTTAGAGGGCTTTTGTTTGTTTTTTTTTAAAACTTCTCAGGGTTTTACAATACAGGTCCCTGAAGCAAGTTTCCTCTGTAATTTTATGCGTAACTTTAAGAGGAACCACAAAATGGTCATCCACTTTAAAAACTGTGGGTACCTTTTCATCAGTGGGGCATGTTCCAAACCCAAAGGAAGCAAAGGTGATAAATGATGTGTACTTATTAGTTGAGTGCTGGGCACTGTGCTGACACCAGGGGATGCCAAAATGAAAGGAACAGGTATGTTTCCTGTCCTTTTGAAGCTTGACTGCTAGTGAGAGAATCCAATAACCAAGAAAAAGTAAGGATGTAAATAAAATAAGTATATGCCTAGCACTGGGAAGAAAGTATAATAAACAAACAGGATACTGTAAAAATAAGGGAGAAAGGAAGGGCTTTGGCGGTCAAAGGAATAGGTGACATTTCTTTACCAGTGAGCCAATGGGAAGCAACCAGCCATGTAAAGAGCCTCAGAAACAGTGTTTGAATCACAGGGAATAGCTGGCACAGAGAGGTCCTGATTATGTTGTGCCTTGGAGGTAGGTACAAATGGGAGGGTTCTTATGCAAGCATATGCTCTCAGGGAAGCCCATGCGGTCATGGGGAAGGCTAGACAGGAGAGGGAGGCAGGCTTAGGTTTCCTGATACTTCCAGCTCTCCTTCTGTGCAGGCCAAATGGGATCCAGTAGAACCTGCAGGTGGTCCTCTGGAAAGAGCCTCATATGCTGGTTGTGGGGATCAAAAACACATTGAAGAGGCTTTGAGCATTCAAAAAAAAAATGGGTCAAAAGGTATTCACAGGGATCTGCTGGGACCAAGATGAGGCAAGTGAGGCCCTTGACTCTGGGGCAAAAGTTAAGGGGACACTAAAATTCATAATCAAGATAAGTAATATTTTAAAAATCCAGATTAATGCTTAAAATCCCAGGTAACAAGATATTAACACTTTAAAGACAGAATCCAGCAGGGCCAGGATTAGGGTGAGGTAAGTGAGGTGGAATTGTGCAAGTTCAGGGTTGGATCCTATCTTTAAAGTTTTGCTATTGTATTCTTTATAGTTTTTTGACATTAATTTTGATTTTTAACAATAATGTTCATTAAAATTATTTATCTTGGCTACTGAGTTTTTTGGTGCCCTCTTAGATTTTGTGCCTGAGGTATCTCACTTGCCTAAACCTTGCACTGGCCCTGGGAGTGTAGATACTGTCCTCTACAGTCTGGGAGGTTGGAAAAAGCTTGTGTCTTCTTGTAGCTGAAAGTAGGCCTGCCCATGATTGGCAAAAGGGAGTGAGAGAGCAAGCAGTGCAAGATGAAGCTGGAGAGACAGGCAGGAGCCTGACCCTGCAAGATCTTCTTGGAAAAGCTACATGTAATTTTACATAACCCAGGGAAAACTAGCATGCTTTGTTCTCAGGCTCCCTGCCATGGTCAAAAGCACCCCAAATCTGAAAAGATTCTTGGTAATTTATTCCCTTTCATCCCTAAAGAGGAGCCTTTAAGATATGTCAGGGTTGATCTTTTTTTCAGAACCTAATGTGTAGATATTCAGAAATGACTCTGGAAGACAAAAATTTGGATTGTCAGAAGGAGGCTGCTCATATAATTAATGCCATGTAAGTAATTGCTTTGTTTTTAAAAAGCCCATCGAGTGTAAATGTTAAATGTATTTGTCTTTAAAAATCTATTAGCACTAAACTGACTGCATCGAGTATCCTAGAATTCACTTAAGTCTTGCCAAGAAATTAAGGAGCTTCAGGAACTTGGTGTTCCAAAGCCCTTTACCCCAGGTGGTAGCAAATTGAAATCATGAAAGTTTAAACCACTGCACAGCTTACAGATCTGCAGGGTAGCTCTGCAGTTGCCTTGCAAGGATATAGAGAAGTTAATATCTCAAATATTTAGTAACATTTATGCTAATGAGCCTTCCATAATAACCATAAATGGCTTTCACATGTTGTTTGTTTAATGTGAACTGGCAGAGTATCTATTGACAAGAAAACATTGTGGAGTCCTGAGACAATTGAAAATAAGCCGAAATTCACTTTCTTGAAATATACATTCCTTCACATAAGAACTAAACATTGTATTCCCCAAAGAAACATAATTATTTCCTGATCTAACTTCTCTCTCCTACCTCGTTCAAAATTTTTGTTCTATAACTTGCAAGAACCCAGAATACTAGGTTCTTATGTTCTGGATTTTTGCATAGTTTTACAGTCATGCACAACTATGGTATACAGGAGGTGTGCAGGACAGTGGGATGAAAACAGAAGCCCTCAATAGGCTGATCTAGCACAAATATACTCCTCCAACACCCAGTCCAATGTTTCTCAACGCTACCATGTTTGCTTTCCATCCTCACTTTCAAACTGAGGAAATTTGCATGATCTCCAGTTAAGATACACTATATACCACAGGGGGTAAATTTTTAGACGTGTTCTTAATAACCTTGTTTTTATGGTTTATTACCTGCTATTTCAAGAAACGTCGAAATTTCCAATTGTATTTTATTAACTAGAGATGTAAGAGTAGTAGATATTTTTTAAATACTGGACTAGTTTTAGCTATTATTTTGTACTGTAGTTATAAAACTGACACTGTTTACAATTAACAGTGTTCTAGAATCCAGTTGTTTGGAGGGTATTTTACATTATGAAATATTGACTTCAGATGGTCACTGCTATTTTCGAGATCTATGACTATGTTTCAAGGAGATCCATTGGTCTGACAAAATAAGAGATGTATATTCCTGAAAATTGCATGTCCTCTGGAGTCTGTTGTCTGGATGGTATCAGAGAGGTATTAGAACTGTCCTCAGAGGTCATTACAATTTTCTCATAGTGTTTGTCAAGGAAAGAGTTGGGTGTGAAAGGTCTTCTATAGTATTGGGTCCTAACCAAGTCAGGAAGAGAAGCAAATGCCATTGAGAATGTGGTTGGAGTTCTTTCAATGTGCCTTCCCTCTGAAGACTTTTAGAAGTGTGCCAGTCATCCCTGTCTATCTGGCTGCCTCTAGTCGGCCATCTTGCCCCTTCCCTCATGCTAAATTTTATTGATTGTGTCTTCTATTCCAGGCTTAATACAGTAGATATTTTTTGCTGAGGTATGGTGTAGTGGTTAATTGCACAGATTAATAACACTCTCTCAATTCAAATTCTAGTTCCCAGGTAATACTCTGTATTACTTTGGACAAGTTACTTAACCTCTCTATGACTATAAAAAAAAGTACCTACTTCATAGAGTTGCTCTGCATTTAAGTGAGTTAATTCATGTAAAGTGCTTACAAGCATGGGGTTATTACCTGCTAAAATGTTAGCCAATGTGATTATTTAGCCTCTTTTTCAGTTAAGGAAATATGCTTAACATTAATCATACATTGAAAGATGTTTATGTGCTGGTTGTTGGGATCGAAAACACTGAAGAGGCTGTGAGCATTCCACAAAAAAAAAAAAAAAGTCAAAAGGTATTCACAGGGATCTGCTGGGAGGAGGATGAGGCAAGTGAGGCCCTTGACCCTGTGGCAAAATTTCAATGGGACACCAAAACTCAGAATCAAGATCAAATTTTAATGCAATATTGTAAAATTCCAAATTAATGCTTAAAATCCCTGGTAACAAAATATTAAAAGTTTAAAGACAGAGTCCAGCAGGGCCAGGATCAGGTGAGGCAAGTGAGGTGGAATTGTGTAAGTTCAGGGTAGGATCCTGTCCTTAAAATTTTGCTATTGTATTCTTTATGGCTTTTTGACATTAATTTTGACTTTTTAAAATAATTTTCATTAAAATTATCTTGGTTACTGAATTTTTTTGGTGCCCCCTTAGATTTTGCGCCTGAGGTATCTCACTAGCCTAAACCTTGTGTTGGCCCTGGGAGTGTGATCATTGTCCATTACAGTCTGGGCGGTGGGAAAAAGTTTGTGTATTCTTGAACACAGAGTGTGTTATTAATCTGTGCGATTAACCACTACACCATGCTGCAACAAAAATATCTACTGTATTAAGCCTGGAATAGAAAACATAGTCAATAAAATTTAGCATGAGGTAGGGGACAAGATGCCCTACCTCTAGTTGGCTAGATGCAGCCAGGTGAGCCAGGTGGAACAGCTGCCACTGAGGGACCAGGATGACTGGCACACTCCTAACAGATCTTCAGAGGAAACAACTGAGAGTGGTTGGAGAGAAGACACAGAAGCTGGGCTGAAGGGGGAGGAAGGTGGGAATCCTGTATGGGGCCACTGTACACCTGTGCACCGGGACCTCCAGTGACGCTGGGGGAATGGGTGAGTTGAACTGGCAGAGAGCAACCTATTCTTGCCACAGGCCTCTGGAATCCTGGCTGGAGGACACCCCTTGACTACCAGGGACACTTGAGTTGGTAGGGAGAGCTGCTTAGAGAAGTGGTAGGGGCAGCACACCAGCTGATGTGAAGTCCAGAGGGTTTGGTGCTTGAGTGTCTGCAGCAGAGCATGGCCAGGGAGACCATCCCCCTAGGCTTGACTTGCTCCCATGGGAGGCTTTAGACCCAGGGGAACTGTCAGACTTGAACTCTGCAGGCAGTCTTACCCATCAGAGGGGGCTGATCTGACCTGAGCACCCCTTGATCTTCTGGCCTCTCCTGAGGCCCAGCCTGGCCATGCCTGCTTGCAGTGCAGCCACGGGTGTCTTGGGGGTCTACATCATAGCTCCCGTACTGCTGAGGAATCATGCCTGACTGGAGGAGAGATCCAGTAGGGAGGCCTGCTCCTTCCCCTAACTGCAGCTTCCTCAGGCTCACAGCCACCACCCTCCCCATGTTGCTTTTCTGGCATCTATATACATGGGCAGATTTTGACTTTCCTGCCCTGCCAGCGTGCATGTGCATGCACACTGCCCTGCTACTGCTGCTGACAGGAGTGTATCCCACCTCACCTCCCCTGCCATTGCAATCAGAGCCTTGGCGGGCACAGAGACAGCCAGCCCTGGCCCTACCAGCACCCTGCCCCTGTACCAACACTGCTGCTAGAGTGAAACTAGGTGCAGAGAACAGCGGACCCTTCCCTGCCCTGAGTGGCCACCCCTACCTGTGTCAGCATGCACAGAGGTTGCACACAGACCTATGCCCACAAGTGCTGCACCCTGTGCTAACACCACCACCAGCAGGACCACATGCACAGTTGCCAGTGGAGGGCCCCGGCTCCCTGAGCCATTCTGTCTCTGCTGCTGCTGTGAATGCCCACAGGGAGACAGGCACCCTGACACCTGCTAGCACCCTTCCACAGCTGACAAGTCTGCACCCCTCCACACTGCCACTCCACCACCACTGCCGCTGCTGGCACATGCAAGCAAGGATGGATCTGCTGCCACCATCCTACAAAATGGTATGGCTGGCACCATCCATCAGAGTGTAGTGACCAGCTGTCCAGGAGCACATAGGCCCCCCCAGCGCAATGAGTTGACGACCTTGAGGAGCCAGAGAGCAAAATTGGGGCCCAGTACAAGTCTCCCAGAGTTAGAGCACACAGCCCAGGAGCTGGGAGCTGAGCACTGGCTGCCTAAAATTTTCCAGAAACAAAACCAGTCTACTGAATCCACCTTATAACACAATCAAACCCTCAAAGTTATCAAGTAGAATAAAAGGAAAAAACATCCAAAGGATAGCATCTTCAAAGATTGAAGGAACTTCAGCCCACAAAGATGAGATAGAGCCAGTGCAAGAACTTCGAGAACTCAAAAAACCAGACTGCCTTCTTTCCTCCAGGTGACCACAGTACCTCCGTAGCAAGGGTTCTGAGACAGACTGAGAAGGCTGAAATGACAGAAATAGAATTCTGAATATTAATAGGAATGAAGATCATTGAGATGCAGGAGCACATTCAAACACAATCCAAGGAAGCTAAGAAACATAATAAAATGATACAGGAGCTGACAGAAAAATAGCTAGTATAGAAAAGAATGTAACTGACCTGATTGAGCTGAAAACCACACTGTAAGAATTTCAGGCCGGGCCCAGTGGCTCATGCCTATAATCCCAGCACTTTGGGAGGCTGAGGTGGGTGGATCATTTGAGGTCAGGAGTTTGAGACCAGCCTGGCCAACATGGGGAAACCCCATCTCTACAAAAATACAAAAGTTAGCCAGGTGTAGTGGTATGTGCCTGTAATCCCAGTTACCAAGGAGGCTGCGGCAGGAGAATCGCTTGAACCTGGGAGGCGGAGGTTGCAGTGAGCTGAGACAGCACCATTGCACTCCAGCCTGGATGATGGAATGAGACTCCATCTCCAAAAAAAAAGAATGCAATCTCAAGTATTAGTATCAGAATGGACCTAGCTGAGGAAAGAATCTCAGAGCTTGAAGACTGGTTTTCTGAAATAAGACAGTCAGGGAAGAATAGAGAAAAAGGAATGAATAAAACCTCCAAGAAATATGGGATTATGTAAAAGAGGTCAAATCATGTCCCTGAAAGAGGTGGGGAAAATTGAAGCAATTTGGAAAACACAGAAATACATTGCATAGAAACATAGAAATTTCATCCATAAGAACTTCCCCAACCTAGCTAAAGAGGTCAACACTCAAATTCAGAAAATGCAGAGAGCCTCAGTAAGATACTTCACAAGAAGATCATCCCCCAGGACACATAATCGTGAGGTTTTCCAAGGTCAAAATGAAAGAAAAAATTTTAAAGGCAGTTGGAGAGAAAGGTCAGGTCACATACAAAGGGAAGCCCATCAAACTAACAGCAGATGTCTCAGCTGAAACCTTACAAGCCAGAAGAGATTGGGGGCCAACATTCAACATTCTTAAAGAAAAGAAATTCCAACCAAGAATTTCATATCTTGCCAAAATAAGCTTCATAAGCGAAGGAGAAATAAGATCCTTTTCAGACAAGCAAATACTGAGGGAATTGTTACTACCAGACCTGCCTTATAAGACCTCCTGAAGGAAGCACTAAATATAGAAAGGAAAGACCATTACCAGCCACTACTGGTACACACTGAAGTACACAGACTCTAAGTGACACTATAGAGCAACCATACAAACAAGTCTGCATAATAACCAGATAACATCATGATGACAGGATTAAATCCACACAGATCAATCCTAATCTTGAATGTAAACAGACGAAATGCCACAATTAAAAGGCACAGTGTCGAGTTGGATAAAGAAGCAAGGCCCAACTATATGCTGTCTTTGAGACCCATCTCACATACAATGGCACACATAGGCTCAAAGTGAAGGATGGAGAAAAATCTACCAAGCAAATGGAAAATAGGAAAAAGCAGGGGTTGCTGTTCTAATTTCAAACCAAACAGACTTTATACCAACAATAATCAAAAACAAAGAAGAGCATTACATAATAGTAAAGGGTTCAATTCAACAAGAAGATCTAACTATCCGAAATATACATGCACCCAATACAGGAGCACCCAGATTCATAGGGCAAGTTCTCAGAAAGCTTTACACCAGTCAGAATGGTGGATCATGAGGTCAAGAGATCGAGACCATCCTGGCCAACACGGTGAAACCCCGTCTCTACTAAAAAGACAAAAATTAGCTGGGCGTGGTAGCGTGTGCCTGTAGTCCCAGCTACTCAGGAGGCTGAGGTTGGAGTGAGCCGAAATCGTGCCACCGCACTGCAGCCTGGCAACAGAGCAAGACTCCATCTCAAAAAAAAAAAAAAAGAAAAAAAAAGTCAAAAAATAGATGCTTGTGAGGTTGCAGAGAAAAAGGAACACTCATACACCATTGGTGGAAGTGTAAATTAGTTCAACCATTGTGGAAAACAGTGTGGCGATTCCTTAAAGACCTAAAAATAGAATACCATTTGACCCAGCAATTCCATTACTGGATATATACCTAAAGGAATATAAATCATTCTATCATAAAGACACATGCACGCATATGTTCATTGCAGCATTGTTCACAATAGCAAAGACATGGAATCAACCTAAATGCCCATCCATGGTACACTAGATAAAGAAAATGTGGTACATTTACACCATGGGATACTACACAGCCATAAAAATAACAAGATCATGTCCTTTGCAGCAACATAGACAGAGCTGGAGGCCATTATCCTTAGCAAAGTAATGCATGACCAGAAAACCAAATAATGCATGTTCTCACTTATAAGTGGGAGCTAAATGATGAGAACACATGGACACATAGAGGGGAACAACAGACACTGGAATTTTTCAGAGGGTGGAGGGTGGGAGGAGGGAGAGGATCAGGAAAAATAACTAATGGGTACTAGGCTTAATACGTGGGTGACAAAATAATCTGTACAACAAACCCCTATCACTTGAGTTTACCTATATAACAAACCTGCACATGCATCCCTGAACTTTAAATAAAAGTTAAAAAATAAAAAAATAAGATTTAGCTATTAAAATACTAGCATTTTGGAATACTTTTTATGTGCTAGGCACTGTGCATATGTTATCTCATATGATACTTACTGTAGCCCATTCTTTACAGATGAGAAAACTGAGATTCAGGGAGGTTCAGTTACTTGCCCAAGGCCACAGAGCTAATGAGTGGTGGAGGTGGGATTCGAACCCTGCCTAACTCTAAAGATTATGTGTTTTATCCACATGGTGGAATTACTGGGCCAGTCTATTTACTCTTTAATGGCCAAGATCCTAATTTGTTTTACATTATGAAAACTAGTCATTGGCGATGAAATGAGCAGGAATTTGGAAAGTAAATAATTTCCTTTAAACAAAAATCTAATTTGAAAAATGTTGCTTATTAACTACAGTCCTGGTTGGCTCATTACATACCCAAAGCTTATTAGTTTTTGCCTGGCCTGTCTCAAGATGCTTTTGCTCTCAGTAGTGTAGTGATACTTTTATAAAATATTTGTTTAATTTTTCTGAACATGTTTGGGATGGGCTATATGAGGGGAATCTTTGTTATTTATAGGCAAAAAAGGATCCACCTGCAGACTCTGAGGGCACTGTCAGAAGTACAGAAAATGACGCCAAGAGAAAGGATGCGGCTGAGGAAGCTCCAGGCGGCTGATGAGAAAGCCAGGAAGCTGAAGTAAGCTGCTTTTCCTTTAGGCACTCATGCTCGGGACTACTTCTCAGGGCTCTCAGGGAATTTACAGAGAAAAGCAAAAACCAAAACAGGAAACCCCAATGCATACGATTATGTATTTATGTGTTTATTCATTCACTTGTTCACTCCAAGATGATTATTGAGCCATAGATTGAATGTCAGGTGCTATTAATATCAGGCTTTCAGTCTTGTGTGAAGGGAAAGATTAACTATTTGGGAGGTTATTAGTGATGAAAATAGGGTCAGTTTCCAAACGAAATCTCATTGTTGTTGACAGCTTCTGCACATACCCCAGCAGGAGACATCACTGTTTCACCCGGATTCCCTAGGTGCTTGCTGCGTACCTTCTACCAGGAGACCTCACTTATTTATAGGAAGGAGACTTTATTGGCAGGAAATTGTTAGCTTTTGGAAGAAGTAGACTGGAAACAGAGCTCTGTTCTGTCAAGTGAAGCATTTAGAAAAGTCTATGCTCAGGGCGATGTTGCTGGTGGGAGATATCACTAGTAATTAGAGTATTTACATGAAAAAGTGAAATTTCAGGTGTTAGCCAGGATGTAGAGAAAAGGGAACCCTTGTGCAGTAGTGGTGAGAATGTAAATCAGTACAGCCATTATGGAAAAATAGCATGAAGATTCCTCTAAACATTAAAAAATAGAACTACCATATGATCTGGCAATCCTACATTTGGACTTATATCCAAAGAAAATGAAATCAGTATATAGAAAAGATACTTATACTCCAATGTTCATTGCAGAATTATTCACAGTAGCCGAGATATGGACTCAACCTACGTATCCATCAACAGATAAGGGGATAAATAAAATGTGGTATAAATACACACAATGGAGTACTATTTAGCCTTAAAAAAGAAGGGAATCCCATCATTTGCAACAACATGGATGAACCTGGAGGACATTATGTTAAGAGAAATAAGCCAGGCATAGAAAGACAAATACTGCATGATATCACTTATATATGGAATCTTAAAAAGTTAAATTCACAAAAGGGGAGAGTAGAATGGGGTTACTAGGGGCAGGGGGGCATGAATGGGGAAATGTTGTCAAAAGGTAAAAAGTTTCAGACAGGAGAAATAAGTTCTGGAGATCTATTGTACAGCATGGTGACTGTAATTAATAACAATGTTTTGTATTTTTGAAAATTGCTAACAGAGTAGAGCTTGATTTAATTATCCCACAATGTATACATATATAAAAACATCACACAGTATATATAAATCTAAACATTTTTTGTCAATTAAATTTTAATAAAGCTGAAAAAATACATGTATAAAAATGGAATTTCAAAGAGGCTTAGAGCCTCAATTTCTGAAAGACTGATTTATGTGTTGGTAGGTTATCAAATTTCCAAATTTTTCTTATTTTTTCTTCCTCTGCCAATATTTTGGTAGTTTAGGAGCCCCAATCAAGAACTAGAGAGACAGAAAGAACCTGAACACAAATCTACGCATTTTGTTCCCTTGTTAATTTATCCAAAAAATGATTTAGAGGTGTCCTTGTACTTAGAATGAATATCATGATAAGCCAAGTAAGAATCTATGAGTCTATTTTCCCGTAACATTTGCTTTCTTTAATAAATTGGTAGAGAAAGATTTCCATGAAAGTACATTGTGAGCAGTGGTGTGCTGGTAAATATTTAACAACCAGCTCTGGGTTTGAAGGGGACTGCTTATTTGTTTGCTGATTTCTGTGATATAAATACTTCCACTGTGGCCAATATCAAGCTAACAATATGATACCATTTAATATTCAGTTGGGAAGATATTTACACAATCTGCTCTTGAGCCAATACAAGTTGGATTCTGCAAACCACTATGACATTGAGTGTGAGTTTTACTGGGAAAATATATTCACATAAATTGCTTGAGCCATTGCATCAGCTCACAGCCCCAAATCTGTTCGTAATACCTCAGAAATGGTGATATTTCCAAGGTGCCATGATTCGTGTCATTGGCTGGGGGTAAAAGGAAAATTAAATCTCTGATAGGAACAGATTAAAAAGGCAAATTTAATAACATATACAGATTACAAAATACATTAAAACTGTTTTTTAATACAAAGAAGTCACATATCTTTCACATGATACACTAATATATTTTTCTTATTTGAAAGTAATGGTTTTAAATAAAGTTTGGTCTTGATTTTGTGAATAAGTTGTATTGGAATTGTTTCTAGTTGTTGATTATAGAATCAAGGGGGATCATGTGTTTTAGCTAGAAAATGACTCTATTGTCAGAAGAATTATAATGTACCCGTTTTAGAGACAAGGGAGTTTGACTAGAAGGGTGTTCAGTGATGAAAACCTGAGTATAAATTAGCCCACAAGTAATCATAAGAACTCAAATCTTTCTTCCAGTTTAGTAGCAGGTCGCTTAAACTCACTCTCCTGTAATAGAGAAAACAAAGTAAATGTGTCTAGAAAAATTCCCCTGCGCAATGACTCCCAGATATTTCCTCATAAATCCTTTGATATGTAGCTCTAGTTTTACTTTTTATGGGTTTGTTCATCCTGAAAGCAGTTTTTGTGTTATTAGTATGTGTTAGGCACTGTGCTAGGCATTGGGAACACATAGCCCTGTCATTGCACTTGGAGAACTCACAGAGAGGAGCACTGCCTTCTCCTGCTGCTGCATTTTGGGATTTGTAAGGGTGAATAAGGAACCAGAGTATCTTGTGTGTGCTTTAAAAGAGAATCAGCCGGGTGCTGCACCACATTCACCTTGATGAGGAAGAGACCTGATGGCCTGGCTTTCTAATCCCCCAGTCAGTCTGTTGAAATAAGGATCACACTCATCTGTATAATATAGACATGGTTTTAGCAATTCGCAGTTATTTTTCTACATTCACTTTAAATTTACAGAAAGATTGTGGAAGAAAAATATGAAGAAAATAGCAAACGAATGCAAGAATTGAGATCTCGGAACTTTCAGCAGCTGAGTGTTGATGTACTCCATGTAAGTACCCTCTTATTTTAAATTTTACATAAAAATTTTTCTTGCTTTAGATTCATGGCGATGATTGGGTAGGAAAAGGGACAAGGGAGAAAACAAGAACATCCAGATTAACTTCACCCAATTCCAGGAAGGATTCTAGAATGTAGGTCAACAGCTGGTGACAACGATTCAAAGCGGCTGTAGCGAGAGGTGGATCAATTGATCCATTTAACAAAAATCAAGCTCCTACTCTGTACAAGACAACTGAATTGGCACTGAATGCATAACTGATGGGTTAAAATGATTAGCTGACAGAACAAATGTGTGTATATCTAATTTTTAATTCCACCCATGCTATTGTTGCTTTACCTCTTTAGTACATTGTTCTCTTTGTCTGGTTTTTATTCTTTTCCTTTTTATTTTGTTTCCTACCCATTTTGTTGTACATTGTGTTAATAATTTCATTCAAATTTTAACTGTCATAGATGTTCAATAATGAATAGAGTTGCAGATTCACATGAAATGACCCCAAATTCATGTCCTCGGCATTCCAAATCTGTAAATAGCAAACACCATTTTCTCTAATGGTTGACAATATCTCCACAGGCCTTGGGTAGGCTCTGATTAATAAGGTGGTCTTTACAACGTCAAATTTGGGCAATAGACATCAATACCAACCTCATAGCACTTCAGGTAAAAGCAACTTGGGATGAAGCCATTTTTATAGAGAACTTCTACTGTCTCAAATTCTGATTTTTATTCACGGAGATCCCTGCATGTGAGAGATTCTCTCCTTTAGCAGGAAGCACCAAGCTCCCTGAGGCTGTGGGGACAATCCCCCAAGCCCCAGGGATGCTAATTCTGTTGTAGCTTAGTTATCAGATGGCTCCAAGCCCTGGGGCATGCAGGAGACCTCACCCTCAGCCAGACAGGGCCCCTCTTTAAGGGGGAGATCTGCCAGTAATGCATCTTTCTCAATTATTTAGGGGTTCTGTGTGCTTTGGAGTTCTAAAAATCCCAAGTGGGGACCAATAAGAGGCCTAGCTTCCTCTAATTTCAGGAGTCTTCCTCTGTTTGATGGACCAGTTAGCAGACAATGTGGGGATGATGGTAATATGTGCTCAATTCCATCCCCCTTTTCCCACCCCTCTGACACACCATTTAAGTGAAGGCCCCCTGTGGGATCTGTTGCAGGCTACAGAGAATTGGGAGATGGGTTCTTTCCTGCTCAGGGAACTTGGCGAGTGAAGAACCTGCTGACTGAAAGGCCATGGGGTCAACAATAGGGCTGGATCCCTAGTTGGAGAAAGGTCTTGATGCCACCACTATGGAAGGACTCAAGCCCCCTCTGAAAACTGGGTGCATTTCTTCAGCTTCCCACACACTTCTAGGCCCTGCAAATGATAGCCTGTTAAGGTGGCTCTTCTTCTCTGGTGCAGTCTGCTTTGTCCCCCTGCAGTGCTGAGAACTGCACATTCCCACAAATCCTGACAAGGAGGCTGACAGAATTATAAGAATTCCGAGTTTGTTAATGTGTAAAGTACTTGTTTATTCAGCTATAGAAATGGGGACATACTTTTCTAGAATGCTCAGAGATGTTGTATTTCTTATAAGTCCTCTGCTAATTCATATGCTGCTGGTCTGATTCCTATGTACACTCTGATTAATAATGAATAGAAAATGGGCCTCCTGAAAGCAGTACTTCACCTCAGATGAGGGAAGACTTGGAAAACCACTGCTCAGCAGACCTTGTCATAATCTCTTCAGGGTCTTGTCTTCCTCTTATAAATCAGGGATCACTGATTCTAAGGGATTTTCCCCCTAAGATTGAAAATTGAGAAGTACAGGCATGGTATTATTTTGTTCTTTAAAATCTAAATGACTTCATTCTTGAAGTTACCATATGGCAAAAAAGAAATGTAGTTTCAAGTATGAGCTTAAATATTAGTGTCTGATAATTTACTTACCTTTTTTGCTTTTCTTCTTTGACCCTTCAAGATCACCATGTTTGTGTTCTTTTTTATTGGATGGAATTATTATTGGTGTTATAACTATACTCTATGAGGTCTTGTCTTCCTCTTATAAATCAAGGTCCTTTGGGGGCCCTGAAGTAACTGAAGATAAGCCTGAGACCATATGGCAGGCAGCATCCCAAAAAATGTTCTTATGCATATATTACTCCACAGAACATGGGAGCTAGACACAAAGTTCTGATCTTGGCCCAACTCAGATGAAGAAAGAGAGGATTTCACAAGGATCCTATGAACTCCCAACTCATCACTTCCCCAGTGACTTCCCATTTTCATCCCCTTCCCATCAGCAAGGAGCAAAGGGAGCAGGAGGGGAAGCGACCGATGCTGATGCTGTTCTGGACAAAGACTGTGGTTTATTCTTTGATCTTCTGAGATTAGTGCCACCACTGTCTTTGGCCCTGAGCTTTCCAGAAGCATGTTTCCTATGTTTATATATTGATGGGGGCAGAAATGCTCCAGGCAGATAGATGGCTGTTGAGTCTGTTCTGTTTGAACACTGTGTCCTCTTGCCAGCTGGTTCAGGCCCACAGACTGGATGGCTCAGCATCGCCAGGCATCCTGCCCTCTTTTGTGCAGTCACATCAGTCATTTCCCTCTGGCACATTGTCAGCATCCCATCTCTCTTTCAATTGTTTTCAGGAAAACCTTGTCAGCCCACTTGGGTCCACAATCAATGGACCCTCCTCCAAATTCTTATGGCTTATAGTATTCTCAAACTTGAAATGCACCTTGATTGCCTATGAATCTTGTTAAGATGCAGATTCTGATTCAATTAGTCCAGGGTGCAGCCTGAGATGTTGCATTTCTTTTTTTTTTTTTATTTTTATTTATTTATTTTTTTTTGAGACGGAGTCTCGCTCTGTCGCCCAGGCTGGAGTGCAGTGGCGGGATCTCGGCTCACTGCAAGCTCCGCCTCCCGGGTTCACGCCATTCTCCTGCCTCAGCCTCCCAAGTAGCTGGGACTACAGGCGCCCGCCACTACGCCCGGCTAATTTTTTGTATTTTTAGTAGAGACGGGGTTTCACCGTTTTAGCCAGGATGGTCTCGATCTCCTGACCTCGTGATCCGCCCGCCTCGGCCTCCCAAAGTGCTGGGATTACAGGCGTGAGCCACCGCGCCCGGCCGACGTTGCATTTCTTATAATCCCTCTGCTAATTCCTATGCTGCTGGTCTGTTTCCTATGTATACCTTGATTAATAATGAATAGAAAATGGGCCTCCTGAAAGCAGCACTTCACCTCTAGATGAAGAAAGACTTGGAAAACCACTGCTGAACAGACTTTGTCATAATCTCTTTAGGAAAAAACACATTTAAAAGGAATGGAAGAAAAGGAGGAGCAACCTGAGGGAAGACTTTCTTGTTCACCCCAGGACGAGGATGAAGAGAGGTGGCAAGGCAGGGAAGAGGCAAGTTTAATCATATTCACAAGCACAAAAGTGAGGCAGGTTTAATGATATCCAGAGAACAAAGGGGAAAGAAAATGGGAAGCCGAACACTTTGCAGAGGAGCCTGAAGGGTTTTAAATGTAGCAGGAAAAAGCTTCATTGAGCTGAAAAAGATGAAATAAATATAGGAAAGAAATTAGATTAATCAGATGCAAGAGGCTAAAGAAAAATGTGATAAGGAGAAGAGGAAGAGGAAACTGCTCCCATCTTTGAGTGCTTTCCTCCCCCTTGCCCATATACATGTTTATGATTTAATTTCTTGCTAATCTCATTGGGGCTCTGTTCTCTATTCCTTTTTGCATCTCTCTTGCCTGGTGGAAGCAAGCTACTTTATATTTCAAAAGCACTTACAGGAGAGAATCAGAGTTATGGGAGAGAATGGGCTCTATGTCGCCTCTCAAACATGTTATAAAAATTATTTGAGGCATGTAGAGAGAGTGGCTTGCTTTGTTTTTCAGACCCTAGCTGACAAGGCCTTTTATTTTAGCAGGCATTTTCTGCTTGGCTGAATTTGGGCTTTGAAATCTTGAAGCACCATCGAATGTGGAATCATGTTAGGCACTGTTTCTCTAAAGAATCACAGCTTAAAACAGTTGGATACCATAATACATAAGACAGGCCAGGTCTGTCTTTGATCCTGTGGCATATACAGTTTTGCTGGGGCTAAAGTTAGGTCTCTGTGAAAAGTACATAGCAGATCAGGTCTCCATACGTGGAGAGGTAATGGGGATCAAAGATCAGACCATGTCCTTCTCTTTCTAAGAGAAGCAATTATAACAATTCTATCTTTCTCTTCAAAGAGAAACTCAGCAAATCAAAGTTAATTGAGAGTCCAAATACATACTTATTTTCAAATAATTTCTGAAGTGCACGTAAAGACGTATTTCATGTACTCTCTGTTCTTTATCTGTAAAGTTCTCTGTGTGCTCTCAGTGATCCTTTGAAATCTGGAACCAATTTCGCCTCCTGAAACAATTATTATGCGGTACAGAAAACTGACTTCTTAAAAACACTTTATGATGATATTCTCACAAATACCGCACTGCAGTGTGGCATGGCTTCATTTTACTTATTAAGATTAGTTTGAACTTTCTTTTAAATTTTCTTTTATTAAAAAGACACTCTTGGAGTAGTTTCCCATGAAAACCATTTATCAAGAAAAATAGATCAACTCAGCACCAGCTCCAGGTTCAAACACAAATACACACACACACACAAAACTAAGGGAAAAAGGCAAAATGATTTCTTGAAATACCTATTGATTTTGGCTAAACCTTTTATTTTTTTGAAGTGTGAATTCTTTCATCATGTGGTCTCTTAGATCTTTTTCTTTTAGGAAATTGGAATTCATAGAATCACAGAGCTTTAAAGCTAGAGGGGAACTTGTAAGTCATTCAGGCTAACACCTTTAATTTTGAGATGCAGAAACTGAGCAGGGCTGGAGTAGGGTGTGGTAAGTGGAACACCATAGGTGCCAAATTGAAGAAGGCCCCCCTCAGCTGTCAATGGAGTGAGTACCTTCAATTGGTACCTTGGGCATCCCACTTGGCTTATCTAGTCATGATCCTGAAACTGAGCCCATGAAGGTTAAATGCTTTGTGCAAGGTCACCTGTCTCATTGATTCAGGGCTGTTTCTCTTATCCCACCTTACCTCCTGAAGTTTGAAAACGTTTAAGGGAGAGGATTAGGTAGGCTTGTTTCCAAGTAGTCTTCTAAATAAGAATATTTTTTTCATTTGTGGTAGTGCTGTTTCCTTCTATCAGCATCTCATGAATTGTTAATTACCTTCCACAAGGAATCTGATGAACCAACTTTAGAGAACCTGCCTGAGTCTCAGCCTATTCCTTCCATGGACCTCCACGAACTTGAATCAATTGTAGAGGATGCCACATCTGACCTTGGATACCATGGTATGTGTTTGCATTGATTTTCAGAAGGATGCTCACAGCTGCTGCACAGGTTGCTGTGGCCGACTTTGCAGTGGGTCTGTCTGGCCTCTGGGAGAAGCTCTGAGTGTGTGCAGCTATTATCAGTTTACCAGGGCTGGGCTATGACCAGGATGAAAAGTAGAGAAGCCAAGGATTTTTCTGTCCTCTCTATCTTCTTTGCAATAGTGAGGATGAGTTGGAAACTCACACCTGGTGAGAGACCTCTTCTGGGTGGGTTAAACACTGTTGTCGTTAAGCTGACTTTGGAATTGTGCAAACTCCGAATACTCTGGAGCACTGTGTCTTCCCTGTTCTGTAAATGGTTCTTCCAGTTGTCATAAATTTAAATTGAAGAAATGAAGCCAGGCTTTGGAAAATCAGCTATGCAGATGTGCATTACCAGAAAATAAAAGTGCTCAGAGCAGGAATACAAAGGGAGGCCTGTAGGATGGCTGACTTTGCTAGAGGACTTCCTGATGCCTTTGCTACCTCAGACCACACAGCAAACGAGTACACTTCCAGTAAACCTCTATTTTCACTTGGAATAAGACTTTAATTAGTGGTCCAAATGGAGCAGATACATGCAAATGGAGTAGGTACATCATAAGCTAATGGTTAAATGCATGAGTTTTGGAGTAAAAAAGTTGGCCCTATCAGAGAAGGCCCTGACAACATAATCTCTCTAGGTCTCAGTTTTCTTATCTATGAAATAAGAATAATAATGCCTTCTTTCAGGGTTGTTGTGAATAGCAAATGAGACGTGGCATGTGGAGTGGTCTTAGTTCAGTGCCCAGCACACAGTAAGTGCTAAAGAAGGGGAAGCAGTTATGACACTTTGAGCAGAGGAGGGTTATCAATATAGGTGTCTTCTCAGTCTTGTTCACCAGTCTCCCCAGTGCCTAGAGCAAATTTCCAGGAACATGCTAAGCACTCAATAAATATTTCTTGAGTGAATTAATGAGTGGATGAATACATGAGTGAATGTTAGTCTGATCCTCTGAGAAGCAGATGCTAAGACTAGACTACAATTGCAACGTTACTTTTAGAGAAAATGCTTATATAAAAGAAAATAGGAAAGAGCTAGAAAAAACCAGGGGAACCATTAGACCACTGATTAAAGTCTTATTCCAAGTGAAAAGAGAGGTTTGGTGAAGGTGAACTAGATTCCTCTGCAGTTAGAGGTAGCAAAGGCATCAGGAAGTCCTCTAGCAAAGTCAGCCATCCTACAGGCCTGCCTTTGTATTCCTTCTGTGCTCCAGTAGTAGCCCATCGGGAGGCATCATAGCCTCTGAGAGAATGCAGAGATGGATTTCAGAGCATAGCAGCTGGGATCCTGGGCCAGTTGCACTCTGTGTTGTTGGAGGTCTGCAAGTGCATCCTTATGGCTGCACAATGATGTAACAGCTCTTTTTGGCAGCAGTTTAGCTGTCTTCTCAAATTGAGAATTAAGGTAGTGAACCTTGGATTATCTTGTCTTCTCACCAGATTTGCACTTGAAGTCTTCTTACTAGAGCTGTTAAAGCCTGTGCTGCCTCCTTCAGCTGTATGGAGACAAGCACCTGAAGCTCTTTAGATTGGCATTAGCCAGCTTTTAAAATGGTGCTATGGAAGCCATCTTGTAACAGACATTCTTGACAAACAAATATATATTTCAGATGGATTTCTGTCTTAGGCCTTTTATGGTATTTGATATATTATTTGTTAATTTCCAAAAGTGAAATTTGGAAGTATAGAAATATCCCATGGACTTCTCTTTCTAAAAATAGAAATGTCAGAGACATTAGAACCAGAGCGACTCCATCTTGAATAAGAGCTGAGTAAAATAAGGCTGAGAACTACTGGGCTGCATTCCCAGGAGGTTAAGGCATTCTTTGTCACAGGGTGAGACAGGAGACCAGCACAAGATACAGGTCACAAAGACCTTGCTGATAAAACAGGTTGTAGTAAAGAAGCCAGCCAAAGTCCACCAAACCCAAGATGGCAAAGAAAGTGACCTCTGGTCATCCTCATTGCTCATTATATGTAAATTATAATGCATTAGCATGCTAAAAGACACTCCCACCAGCACCGTGACAGTTTACACATGCCATGATGACATGGGAAGTTACCTTATATGGTCTAAAAGTAGGATGAATCCTCAGTTCTGGGAGTTTCCCACCCCTTTCCTGGAAAACTCATGAATAATCCACCTGTTGTTTAGCATATAATCAAAAAACAACTATAAGTCTATTCAGTCGAGCAGCTCATGCCACTGCTCTGCTCATGGAGTAATCACTCTTTTGTTTCTTTACTTTCTTAATAAACTTGCCTCCACTTTTCTCTATGAACTTGCCCTGAATTATTTCTTGTGCGAGGTCCAAGAACCCTCTCTTGGGGTCTGGATCGGACCCTTTTCCAGTGACAGAAAGCTGAGAAAGTTAGGCAATATGTAGCTCCCAATACCTGTGGCTTGTGCTCTGCTGGAGGACAGAGCCATCACTATTTATGCATAGGAAGCCCCAGGACAGGATATTGAATGGGTGGTCTAGGACCAAAAAGTCTGAGCTTCTTCCTGGTTTCAAATAGGAAAAGTACTTAATACTGCATTTCATAGATGAGAAGCCAAAGACATTAAGTGGTTTGCTTAAGGACCACAGAGTTCCTGCTTTCTATCTAGTATACCACCCTTTCCATTTCCCCCAAAGTGTGTGTTTTCGGTGGTGGTAGGTAGAAGCAATTGACTTGTAAGAAACAGAAAAACATGTCAAAGGAACTGGACTTTCAAAAGGCAGAGTCTTTGTCATGTGTCTCTTTGCTAATTTTTGTGAACTGTTATAGCCAAATTACTCCCAAGCTAGCCTTGACCACAGGTTCCAGCTACTATGGAAAACCCAAGCTATGTCCTTCTTACCTCTCATTTTGTCTTTTGTCATGGAGGTTTCAGTATGGTAGACAGTGTGTTGATTTACCAGCCAGACTGGAAATCGTCAAATCTACTTCTTTGACCACTTTGTTCATGTTGTAATGTAAACACTATTTAGGCCTCTATGATAAACTATCAGATTAGAAAAAATACATAATAGTTTTAGGTGGATCAGATGCCTTGTAAAATACTTTAAACATTTCCGTTATTTTTTCCTGTCTGTAAATTCATACCTTCTAAATGCTATTCTTTCTTAATATTAAATTCAAAAAATAAACTTAGAACTATGAAAATACAGCCTTGATAGGCATTTAGGTCAATTCTATGTCTTTGCTATTGTGAATAGTGCTATAATGAACCTAAAATAAAAGTAAAAAAAGAAGAAAAAAAGAAAATGCAACCTTTGGGTTTGACAAATCATTAGAATGGTGGGCAACTACCAGAAAATTAGTGATCACAGAGATTAATTGAAGTGAAATTTTGAAACATGAGACTTAATTTGTTGATGAACTCTGAAGTGGTTAATTATTTTTTGCCTTTTAGAAGATTAGACTGCAAACTTTCAGCACCCAAAGGAAATTTGTATTTATTTTTTATTTGGCATGTATATGTAAAATAAAATTATACAGTCATTCTTTCAAAGCTCCTACACCAAACATTTAATTAGTCTTTGAGGTTGAATTGGACAATTCCCTCTGGCATATGAGGAGTTAGTTGCAGAGAAGAAAGACAGGATAAGACTTATTATTTACATTTGATATGCATTAGTTGACTATAGCTGATTTAATCTAGTGAAAGTCATGGGTAACCATTATAACCAAATGAGAAAGTACAACTGGAATGTTAAAGAAATTATCCCCATTTAACTTCTTATATGTAATGCTAATGATATCTTGCACATTAATTTTTGCCAGGAACTTCTTTGTACTCTAGCATTTGTTTTATATTTTATTTTTTAGCAACTCACAGCTGACTTTCAGAGCAGTGTTTTTTCCAAAGCTGGAATAGCCTGAGACTCTAGGGCCTGGGTCTACAAGGAGCATGACTCCCTACCCCACCATTCAGATGTGGAGAATGCAGTGAAGTAGGCCTTGGCTGCTTACCCACATCCTGACCAGCTGTCACCTCTTCATTTCCTGTTCAGCCACTCTTTAAGCAATCACTGAGCCCAATGCTCAGAGATAGCTCAGACCTGTAGGTGGTTGTGCTTTGCTTGCCTGTAGGAGCCCCACATGCCCTTTACAGTTCTGGGCTGTCTATGACTTACGATATCACCTCTTCTTTTTAAATGTCCAAGTGGAAATAAAGTGATTTGAACTTTGCTAATTAAATATGTTATGTTTTTATTGTTTTAATTTTAAAAAGAAAACCTCTACTCACTCACTAATTCCACTTTTAGATAGTTATCTGAAAGAAAACCTTTACTCACTCAGTAATTCCACTTTTAGATAGTTATCTGAAAATGCATCTACAAGAAGACCTGTTCACAAATGTTTCTAGAAGTTTTATTCATAAGTACTCAAAATAAAAAACAAGTCAAGTGTCCATCAATAGGTGAAAGGATAAGCAAATTTGTAGTTTGTTGATGGAATATATACTCTTTGACACTGAAAAGGAACACACACCAATATATACAACAATATAGATAAATACTTTTAAAATTATGTGAAGTGAAAGAAGCCACACGTAAAAGAGTTCATACTGAATGATTCCATTTCTATGAGTTCTGGAACCAGAAGTACTTATCTATAGTAATAGAAATTAGGCCAGTGGTTGCCTGGGGGTGGTAGTGGTGGGAGTTGACTCTAAAAGGGCACATGGAAACCTTTTTTTGTGATAGAAAAGTTTGTAAGTTTGCTATCTTGATTGTGGTGATGGCTACCCAGATGTGTAAATTTGTCAAAACTCATTGGACTCAATACTTTAAATTAGTGCATTTTATTGTATATAAATTATACCTAAATAAAATTGATAAATTAAAAAAATATTAAAATATTCAGAAGAAACAATGTAATGCTTAGCTGTCTATGTGTTAGCTAATGAATGGCCAAGAACGATGTGAGTGAAGTCATGGAGATAGAAAACAATTGGGAAGATCTTTGGGTATCACCTGGGACACAAACTCCTTAATCCAGAAGGTGATCACAGGGTTTGAGACTTTCTTCTAGCATCAGCTGAACAACGTTGTCTTCCACAAGGAGTGTTAACAAAGCTTTGGGGTCCTTTCCAAGGAGGAAAGTTGGCTATTTGGAGATAAGGGACAGGGATCTTTTAGCTCCTCTCTCTTCAGTCTTTATAGTTGGGGGTGGAGGTGCACACATCTGAGTAGCAGAGAGCCCTACCAGCAGATCTAAAAGGACCTAGTGCTCACTAAGGCCACTGGAGCATAATACAACAAAAGGTGATAGCTCAGACTCCAATGCCCAGCCCAAGATGGAGAAGCTGGTGGAGCTGCCTGGCTCTTTAGTTCTCAGAAAAGAAGACCAAACAAATGCCAGGGGTTACTTCCACATTCCTAGATCTTCCGTCACTTCTGGAGCTTTAGATGTCTTCAAGACTTGATTTATAAAGATAAATTGATGGTGGTTTTATTTCATAATTGTCACTTATTCCACTGAGTTACATTTGCATTTCATAATAGTGTTTCCACCTGACTCTAATACTTGCTCTCAGGAATAAAGATGCCTGCAGTTCTCACTAATTTCTGAGTTCTAGAGGATAATTAGAATGAATCTAATACTGAATGAAGATGTGCTGATTCTCCACCCTGAGGCATATTTAATAATTTAGAGTGTTCCTTCTGTACGACAAGTCACTAACTAAAATTTCAAAGATTATATCCAATTTGAAAAATTAAGCTGGGTGCTGTCTAACACCTGCCCAACAAGCCACTTTGACATGGCATCCTAAGCAAACGTAATATAAATAGGGGGAAAATTAGTCCCAGAACGTCAGGTATTCATGGGGAAAACCAGCACCCACGGACATCTCAAAATAAGTAAACCGCCTGGGAAGGCTATATGTCATCCCATGGATCATCACTTAGCTAAATATAAATCATATAGTAGTTATTATACTAAAGGTCATGCTAATAAGGCAGAGGGCATCCTTAAGTGGCCTTGCTTGGGTCATCATGGCTCAGATTTGGAACAAATCAATTAAGCAGAAAATTAAATAAGTATCAATCATAGCTTTAAGGTTGGATAGAAACAAATGTAATAGAGTAAAACCTTATAGAATGTGTGTTTCAGACAGTGCTCTGCATATACCACGGTATGGTTTTCCTTTAGTTGATGAATTTATTTTCCATGCATGCAGGTTTCACAGTTGTGCTCCATACTTATGTGCTTACCACTTGGAGAACATTGTTATGATGGCCAAAGAAAGCTAAGCTGCCATATGAAAGGGAATCTTTCAGATCTGCCTTTGAGTCCTGACTTTCCCATGTGATTGCACTGTGATTTTAAGGAACATAATTTCTGTCATCTGCAGTTTTCAAATTTGTTTTTCATCAATAAAATGCAGTTAGTAATACCAATCTGAAAAATTTACTGTATTAAGTGAGACAACATGTATTTGATATAACACATATGTTAACATACAGTAACATACATGTCTGTTACTGTATTTCGCTCAATCAGTGACAGGAGCTATTACTACCAAAACAGATATAGAATGGTTAGATGGTGCTTATCACCTCTTGTCTACTTGTTAGAATCGGACTTATCTTTTAAGACCCAGCTCAAAGACGTCCTCCTTGATTCGACGTGAGAAGATGTCTCCTACCAGGACTCTTTGACTAATCTCCCTGATCATTTTTCTCCTTTCTTAGAACATATCCTATGCTGCCTTACAGTACTGAGGTTGTGAACCTGACTGTTGCCCTAGCGTAGGTTGAAAAACTGGGATGTCTTTGTTAACAAGTCTTTGGAAAGCACTTTAAAAAGAATAGTAAGTAGTTATATTATAAAAATTACAGACACAGGATGAACAACAACATACAAAAAACCTATTCAAATATCACTCACGTGAATACAGTCATGTACTGCTTAATGACAGGAATATGTTCTGAGAAATGTGTCATTAGGCAATTTCATCCTTAAGCAAACATCAGAGAGTATACTTGCACATACCTAGATGTTATAGCCTAATGCGCATCTAGGCTCCATGGTATAGCCTGTTGCTCCTGCACTACAAACCTGTACAGCATATTACTGTCCTGCATATTGTAGGCAATTGTAACACAGTGGTAAGTATTTGTATATCTAAACACAGAAAATAGACAGTAAAAACACAATATAAAAGATGGTACACCTGTATAGGGCACTTATGAATGGAGCTTGCAGGACTGGAAGTTGCCATGGGTGAGTCAGTGAGTGAGTGGTGAGTGAATGTGAAGGTCTAGGATATTCACTACTGTTTACTACTGTAGACTTTATATATAAGCACTGTATATATAACACTTAGGCTATACTAAATTTATTTTGAAAATATTTTTCTTCAACAGTAAATTAACCTCAGCTTACTGTAACTTTTTTACTTTATACAATTTAATTTTAAAACTTTTTGATTATTTTATAACACTTGGCTTAAAACACAAACACATTGTACAGCTGTACAAGAATATTTTCTTTTTTATATCATTCTATAAGCATTTTCTATTTTTAACATTAATTCTTTTAACTTTTGAATTCTTTGTTAAAAACGAAGTCACGAACACACATATTAGCCTAGGCCTTCTGCCTTTCACCTCCATATCTCGTCCCACTGGGAGATCTCCATGGACAATAACATGCAGGGACCTGTCACCTCCTATGATAACAATGCCTTCCTCTGGAATATCTCCTGAAGGTTTTACAGTTAACATTTTTTAAATAAGTAGAAGGAGTATACTATAAAATAATGATAATAGTATAGTATAGTAAATATGTAAAGTAGTAACATAATTATGATTATATTGTACATGCTTGTATGCCCTATACTTTTATATGACTGACAGTGCAGTATGTGTGTTTACACTGCGTCACTAGGTAATAGGAATTTTTTAGTTTAATTATTATCTTATGGGACCACAACTGTATATGTGGTTCGTTGTTGACTGATACGTCATTATGCAGTGCATGACTGTACTTGTACTTTAAGATTGTTATGGCTTGAATGTCTGCTCTCAAAAACTCAGTTGTTGGCAGTGTGATAGTATTAAGAGGTGGGGTCATTAAGAGGCAATTCACTCATGAGGACTCCCTCCTTA
This sequence comes from Homo sapiens, assembly GCF_000001405.40. Lineage (NCBI taxonomy): Eukaryota > Metazoa > Chordata > Mammalia > Primates > Hominidae > Homo > Homo sapiens. The sequence continues at coordinate 131,179,059 of NC_000003.12, forward strand.
TGAATGGGATTAAGTGCCCTTATCAAAGGGCTTGATGGAGTGAGTTCATCCCTCTTGTTCTTCTACCTTCCACCATGTGAGGACACAGTGTTCCTTCACTGCAGAGGATCAAGCAATAATACGCCATGTTGGCAGCAGGGAGCAGCCCTTACCACACAACCGAACCTGCTGTTGCCTTGATCTTGGACTTCCCAGCCTCCAGGACTGTGAGAAATAAATTTATGTTCTTTATAAATTACCCAGTCCGTGGTATTTTGTGACAATAGCACAGATAGGCTAAGAAAAGGACAGAACTTGTACTGACAGTTTCCTATGCAGATTTCAAGGAGAGCTTTATCTGAAAAATATGAGCTGGAAGTAAGGAGTTGCACAACTCATAGTCATGACAAGGACACTTAGTCTGTATGCATGTGAGGAGTTTAAATAATTGTATTTCATGAAATTTCAGAGTGGGAAAAAAGCAGTAGCTCTAAATATTTTATATAATATGGGAACATAAGTTTAAATTTGTTACTAAATTAACAATGTATTATAAATAGAAATTTATCTGTTTGACTTATACTCCTAATAGTTCAACATTCAAGTTTGATATTCTTATTGGAAAATGAGTCAAGTCTTAAAATTTTCTAGGTTTCCTTACAATTAGACATATACCATATTTCATCCAGTCTAAAATACACAGTTTTGCACATTTGAACACCTCTGAAATGGAGATGCATCTTAAAATAGACGGCATATCATAATTTCATGGACAGTAGTTTTATTAATGATATATAATATAATGATTCATTTCAAAATTGATGGTGTCTTTGATTCTGTAAAGTACAATATTATATTTCTCAATTGTATTGGTCAGGCTAGGCTACACTTGCTGCTGTAACAAATACACCTATTGACCTAGGTAACAAGGGATTTATAGCTCATTCCTATAAAGTCCTATGTGGGAAAGAATCTCTCAGGGCAGATATTCCCTGTGCAGTGACTAAGGACCAAGGCTTCTTCTATTTTATACCACCACCATCTCAGCATTTGGCTTTCAATGTTCCCACAAGCAGCAGAAGTAGATTGGAAGTAGCACACCCACACATAAATTCTTCAGCTTGAAAATTACTTCCTTGCAATTTCATTGACTAAAACTAGTCATGTGGCCCAACTTTCCACAAAGGGCCTGGGAAGTACAGTCTTTCCTGTGCCCAAGGAGGAGAGAATCAGATATGGGTGAACACTACTGATCTTACCACAACAGTCTATCTTAGTTACCTGACTCTGAAATTAGGGTAATGAACAAAACCCAAATATATAATTGAATCATGTGAAATTTATGTTCCAATTAGATAGAGAAACAAATACCTTTATTCTTTTACAAAATAATATATTGACTTGTACCAAAATGAACTATTATAAAATAGGCTTATTTCTTCATATTCTATCATAAAACTGATGACAAAAACAATATTTTATTTAGTTTTAAATTTCCTGATTAAACCTAAAAAGCAAAATATAATTAAAAAAGGAATGAGCTATAAATCCCTTGTTACCTAGGTCAGCAGGCGTATTTGTTACAGCAGCAAGTGTAGCCTAGCCTGACCAATACAATTGAGAAATATCATATTGTACTTTACAGAATCAAAGACACCATCAATTTTGAGATGAATCATTATATTATATATCATTAATAAAACTACTGTCCATGAAATTATGATATGCCGTCTATTTTAAGATGCATCTCCATTTCAGAGGTGTTCAAATGTGCAATATATGTGAGGCATTTATTAAGTTGGTTCTTGAATCTCTTAATTCAGTCTATAATATGTAAAATTCTATATTGGGGCCATATGAAGCCTTGCTAAAACTGCTGGAGGACAGGGTTATATTTGTAAGGGCAATATTTACAGTCTTTCTTAGCTCCTCATTTCTGCCAGCTAACGAAAGTTACTATTGTAGGAAGAAGAATGGGCTCCAAAGATGTCCTTAAAATCCTGATGTCCTAAGGCTGTCCTAATCCTTGGAACCTGTGAATATGTTAAGTTACATGACAGAGGGGAATGAATTAAGGTTACAGATGGAACTAAGGTTGCTAATCAGATAGGGAGATTATTCTGATTATTTGGATGCTCTCAGTGCCACAAGGGTTCTTAGAAGTAGAAGAGGGAGGCAGACAGGGGAGAACCAGAGAGATGGCAGTGAGACAAGGAATTGGCCCAACATTGCTAGCTTTGAAGATGGAGGAAGGAGACAATGAGCCAAGGAAAGCAGGTGACCTTTAGAAGCTAGAAAAGGGAAGGAAATGTATTCTTCCTCCTTGGATCCCCCAGAAAGGAAGGCACCCTGCCAACAAGTGTATCTTAGCTTGGTGAGATCCATGTCAGACTTCTGATCTACAGAACTAAAAGATAACTTTGTGTTGGCTGGGCGCAATGGCTCACGCCTGTAATCCCAGCACTTTGGGAGGCCAAGGCGGGCAGATCACAAGGTCAGGAGATGGAGACCATCCTGGCTAACACGATGAAACCCCATCTCTACTAAAAATACAAAAAATTAGCAGGGTGTGGTGGCGGGCGCCTGTAGTCCCAGCTACTTGGGAGGCTGAGGCAGGAGAATGGCGTGAACTCAGGAGGCAGAACTTGCAGTGAGCTGAGATCGCACCACTGCACTTCAGCCTGGGCGACAGAGCGAGACTCCGCCTCAAAAAAAAAAAAAAAAAAAAAGAAAAGATAACTTTGTGTTATGTTAAATCACAAAATTTGTGGTCATTTGTCACAGTAGACATAGAAAACTAATACAGCTATATTGGATTATGTCTGCTTCCAGTCAAATAACCACCATCTTTGATTCATATGCTAGTTTTTTTTGTTGAAGTGATTGAAATAGCTTGCTTTGGTGTTTAGGCCAGACTTTAATTTAGAAATTTATGATAGGCATTTTAATTAATATTCTTTGATTTTTATAAAGGAACTTCCTATTTTGTTTTGTGACATTAAGGGCCACCTCAGTACCAGATACTAATTGTTGTAAGTGAGAGATCCCCTAGAATCACCTGTCAAACTCTTTCATTTTTTGAAGTGAAATAGCACATCTCCAGAAAAAAAAAAAAAGAAAAGAAAAAAGAACTTTCTGGCAAGTAACTATGGCAGCAAAACCTAATATCTTTTTCACTCATCAGTAACAACATTTTCAACTGACTTCTCTTTTTCTCTTGCTTCTAAAAAACTCAAAAAAGGAAAAATAGGAAACCACTAAAAAGATCCAAAATGATCGTTGCATTTCATAATAGTGTGTATAAGTGTGAGCAGTATAATGAATTTGACTTATTCTCTCCTTTATCGTCAATTTTCCACTTCTGTCTTCAGGGAAGTATGTGAAGTCGCCAGCATTTATAACTCACCAGGTAGACTTGTCTCTGATCTTGCAGGATGGGTTTCTTGCAAACCCATCTCATTGTTCTGTGCACTGGCATCCACATGTGGGGATATATTTATATGAATGTGTAGTATAAACATACCTACCTACCTTCACAGCTAACCTTGATGATCCTTTCCTGCTAACCCCTTCATTTGTCTGAATTTTTTTTCTGGCCAAGGCTCGTTTAAATTATTAATGGGAGTTCTTCTTACTATTGAAGATTAGCTGGCAAAGTAAATATTTGTAGGTGAGTTTAAGATGCCTGCAGTCTTTCATTGCATGCATTGGCGCCTGGGCATTTTGGGTTGTAGAAATCAAAGAGACTTTACCCTTTTTTATATCTCAGATTGATTTTCTCTTTTGACTCTAGAAGAAATGAAAAAACTCAACCCTTCTTCCAGCTCAATTCCACATGACCTGTTTTCTTGGCTTCAAATAGCATAAAGCTAAATTAACCTGCTTCTTTCCTTCCACCCTCTACCTCCCACAAATCCATTTTAAGATATAATAATTTGACAATTTGCATAAGCAGTTGCTTATGAGCATATGGTGTCTAGTCAAATAAATTTAGCCTCCTTTTATTTGTGAGATTATACATTTTGAACAGGACCAACCTTTGTGTGTTTTTGACATCCCAAATGAAAAATTTTAGTGGTATACTTGAGAGGGCTGAAAGGTGACTACCGATTAAGAAAGAGCAGATTTTAGAAAAAATTTTAAAATGTTTCCCTTGGCCCCTTTAGCTCTGTGCCATGTTTGAGGAGAGTAGGTCATTGCCCTGACTATGCTAACATGTTCACAGGCCAACTTCTTTTTTTAAAATTAAATAAAATTTAAAGTTCTGGGATATGTGTGCAGGATGTGCAGGTTTGTTACATAAGTAAACATGTGCCATGGTGGTTTATGGCACCTGTCAACCCATCACCTGGGTATTCAACCCCATATGCATTAGCTATTTATCCTGATTCTCTCCCTCCCCCTGGCCCCATGACAGGCCCCAGTGTGTGTTTTTCCCCTCCCTGTGTCCATGTGTTCTCATTGCTCAGCTCCAGCTTATAAGTGAGAACATGTGGTGTTTGGTTTTCTGTTCCTGTGTTAGTTTGCTGAGGATAATGGCTTCCAGCTCCATCTATGTCCCTGCAAAGTACATGACCTCATTCCTTTTTATGGCTGCATAGTATTCCATGGTGTATATGTATCACATTTTCTTTATCCAGTCTATCACTGATGGACATTTGGGTTGATTCCATGTCTTTGCTATTGTGAATAGTGCTGCAATAAACATACATGTGCATGTATCTTTATAACAGAATGATTTATATTCCTTTGGGTATATACTGGTAATGGGATTGCTGGGTCAAATGGTATTTCTGGTTCTAGGCCTTTGAGGAATCACCACACTGTCTTCCACAATGGTTGTACTAATTTGTATTCCCACCAACAGTGTAAAAGCATTCCTATTTCCCCACAGCCTTGCCAGCATCTGTTGTTTCTCGACTTTTTATAATCGCAGAGGCCATCTTCTTACCTGTCCCTAGGAACTCCACGATTCTTTGGTGCCATCATGATGTCATTCGATGCCTCGCCTCTTACTTTTTGCTCTCAGTAAATCATATTCCTATAATCATTGCTCTCTCAGCTCAAAATTCCATCCAGCAGGCATCATGGTAAAAACATGTATTTTCCATTATATTGGCAATATTCATTGATTCAAAAATGTCAGAGGAAGTACTCACAGTATAGGAATGTATCATACCACAGCAACTTAGAGTCAATAAACTAGTTCTTTGTTACTCAAAGTGTGACCTGTGGATTACAATCAGTAGCATCCTGAGAATTTGTTAGAAATGCAGAATCTCGGACTCACTTCAGACTTCCTAGATCAGAAGATGCATTTTTAACAACATCTCAGTGATTCGTAGGCACATTAAAGTTTGAAAAGGACTGAGCTAGACTCTAAACCCAAAAGAGTATGGACCATGTCCGTCTTGCTCACCATTTTATTCCTACCTACTTATACAGTAACTAGTTCAGAGTTGGTGTTGCTAAGTATTTGCTGAATGAATGACTAAACCTAGGGAAAAATCCTATTAAGAACACGAATGCTTTTTATCTTAAACAGCATACATTTCACGCAGAGATTAATTCAGTTGGGGAAGCAGTAGAATAACAAGTTGCCAGGAGAGGATAAGTTGTGTGCATCACTGTTCATCTATAAAATTTTTCTCTTTCTTCTTAAAGGAGACTGTAATCTAATTTCACTAGACGAATACTGGAAAAATGAAAAATAAAGGAATTTCTGAAATAAGGAAATAGAATCCTCCATGCATACTTTTTGAGTCCCCTAGCTGTTGCATCTTTCTTTATGGATACCCCTACATTTAAATAATATTTTAGGTAAGTCACCAACAGTTTAAAAATATGGTTTGTTCTTCTGCAGTAACTATAGAATAGTATTTAATTTAATAGAAATGGCCAGCCATCCTTTAATAGAAGGGTCACCAGAGTAATCCTCCCAAGGCTCCTTGGGATGTGTCCTGCCTAAGAACTACTGGGAATTAAAGGGTTGTATGAAGTATAGTCTGTATTACAGGTGCACACTTGTTTCTTTTGTTTGTATCAGTTAGTCTCCCCATGGAATTCATGACAGCACTTTCCATATGACAGAACGTTAGCAAATATTGGTTGAATCACTATTTTTTAATAACAGGCCTAGTAGGGCCATTACGTGAAAATATTTTTTTAGTGGTTGTGTTGACTGGATCCTCTGGAAAGCAGATAATAGGACAGAGTTAGAAGTATAAGAGCTGTAATAGGGTAAAGTCTGTTGAAAGAAAACTGATAGAAAGATTGGGAGTAGGCAGAGAACCTTCAGACTATGATGCAGGTCTGACACCTGTGAAAGGCAAGCAGGAAGGAAAACAGACTGGGCAAGAAGAGTCTCAGACAGCACTGGAGCTCTGAGACAGCCTCATTCAGCCCAATGGGTGGCTTTGAACCAGCTTTTACTGGTTCAAAGATTTCCCATAGAGGAATCCCATATTGGACAGAAATGCTATTCCCTACTGTCCCCCACCAACTCAAATGCTCAACTGATCCCCAATATCTTACAGTTTGAGGCGCTGGGTTCACTGCATGCTTGGCAGCTAATCATCAAATTCTTGAAAGACCTGAGAAGCAGACTTCCACAGATGATTCATAGATAGTGGTTCCTTTGAGCCATTCCATATGCTTGAGATGGTAAAAGAGTATTTTGATAACAGTCTATAATTCAGTAGTTTTCTCTGACTTAAAGTAACTGTACCTCCAATATGTTCAAAGTAAGAATGACTAAAATTTCTGGAATATTCGTACACATTTCAGAAAAATCCACTAAACTGATGGCCACTGGTATACTTTAAAGAGATTTGGGGCCAGACTTTGTCTTTTCCTTACTTATGGCATTTACCAACTATGTGGACCTGGACAAAAAATTTAATATTCCCAAGCCTCAGTTTTCTCATCTGTATAATGGGAATAATCACACCCATTTTGCAGGGGTTTAGTGAGGAACAAATAAGATGATACACAAAGCTGAGCACAGCACGTGAAACAGAAAGTACACAGCAATTTTTTACTAAAGGAGTACAATCAGTGTCAAAGCAAGTTGCAATATTTTCTCAAGTTTCACATAAAACCTTTGAAATGATGATCAATAGTATTTCAACTTTAATCACCAGGAAACCTTATAATTTTAGCCCATAAACACCTTCACTATATGAATTAAGAATAATTTAGAATACAGTATTTTTATTTGCTATTGTTTTTGCGTTTATGAAAAATATAAAATCACTTTGGCTGATTAGTTCTACATATCAAATGATGGTCTTAATGATGCCTATCTGGGCCAGTGAACTTAGTACCAAAATAAATTATCATCTTTGTCAGGTCTGTAGACAGCCCCCAGAATTAGAGCCAAGGCCCTACAAATGTGTATCAAGATAATGTAGGGAGAGTGCAGCAAACTGTTCATGACCTAATTCACGCCAAGGAAGGCATTTCTAAATGGGCGCCCTCCTGTTGGTGCATCAGGGATACCACTGTTATATCCAGAAGTAGAACCTGGGACAAAGTTCTTTCCTTAGAAGACGCTCCTTTGCCAGCCGTTTAGAGCCCATACACTAGCAGTTAAAATTTCCATCTATTTTCTCTAAGTACATTATGAGTGTAAATATATTTTGTGCTAAGGAGCATAAGAAGGACCAGAATATGTATCCATTTTTCCATTGTAGTCTCATTTGAGATTTAGGCCAAACTCAATAGATTAAAATATAGAGCTTGGTAGGCATAACCATGACTTTTGCAATGGAAATATTTAGGTAATACTTGTGGCTTATTTTAATGTAATCCTCTGCTTTGGGTTTATAATAAAATCAGGTAATTTTCCTGATACATAGGGATTTGTTATCCACTCTACCTCAAAGGCTGTATGTATAAGTGAACTCCTGGTTTTAGACAAATTGCTTTGAATTACTTCCATTATTTTCTCCTTTAGTTGGAATATGAAGAAATTTCAGCAGGCCTTTTTTTCATAGCATAGATTTTGAAGACAAGGAAAAGTCTGTGCTTGTTTCTGGTGCTGTGCGTTTGAGGAGCACACACTGAAAGCAATTTGTCTAGAAGTATGCTGTCTGATTTGAAATCCACTAGCCACATGTGGTTACTTTAAATTAATTAAAGTTAAATACAATTAAAAATCTGTTCCTCAGTCACATTAGTCACATTTCAAGTGCTTAATAATTACACGTGGTTAGTGGATACTGTGTTGGACAGCATACTTCTAGAACATTGCATCATCGAAGAAAGTCTTATTGGGCAGCACTGTTCCAGAGTAAAATCTAAGTATCTAAATTTTTAAAAAGCTCCACAGGTGATTCTGGTGGGAAACCTGTTTCAAAAATCACTATAACTACTATTAAATGTTGATCTTATATTTCAACTTAAAACTCACAAAAGATTCTATTTCCCTCATTTTCCAGTTCTTCCTTGGAATGAGGGATTGGTTTACTGAAATTCTCAAATACTGACAACATGTGTCAATAACTCTTCTCCTTTTTCATAGAGAAGGACACTGAAGTGCAAAGAGGTAAAAGATGAAGGAGATATTGTTGTACTGGACCCAGCCCCATCTGCAATTTTTTTTCAGAGGTTTCTCTTCTATGCTGTGACAGCTTTCCACTAAATAGAAGAAATGAGTACAGGTGTTTTGGTTGAAGTCCTACTTCCAGAGCATATTAGGACCAAACACTGTGATACTATTATGCTGCCTCAGACCATAGTGTAGCAAGTGAAAGCCCCAAAAGTCACACAGATTGAAAATAAAGTATTTCAGAGTTTACCTAATAATAATTCCTTCCCACAGTGAAAGACAAAGCTTACATTTATTAAAAACCAGTTGATCATGTTAATGAGTCAGAAGTGTTCAAACCAGCTGATTTTACAAGACTGAAGAGAAAATACAATTTAATTAGAGATGGTCAGGTAAAATAGCTAACAGTCATTAGTGACATCTAGGAGCAAATAAACAAACCCTGAGTTAATGAAGGGTACACAGGCAGATAGAGGCTTGACACTGGGACTAGAGCTGGCCTGGAGTGCCATAGTGTGAGTGTGTCTCTTGTGTGTAGTTGTGTAATGAGCTGTTTCTTACATAGCCTGGTACATAGAAGTGCATTTTGTGAGTTCATGTCTCCAAAGTGCTTGTGTGGCCTAAACAATGTCCATTTATTTTGGCTCCTTTGTGATTAAATTGTATGATTTTAAGGTGATAAGAAAATAGTCAGTGGTATTTCTTTTTCCTCTAAAAGATTTATTATTAGATTGGTGCAAAAGCAATTTCAATTTTTGCCATTGAAAGTAATGGCAAAAACCGCAATTACTTTTGCACTAACCTAGTATAATAAACTTTATTTTCTTAAGTGGCAGTTTGCCTCTTTGAGCTTCAAAAGTGGTTATCTTATGTGGCTCTGTAGAAATCTCTTCAAATTTACCTGTTTTCTTCTTTCTGGGCTTCCTTTTAGGAATTCTGGAGTCCCTTCTTTTAGGAATTTTACATTGCTGTTATCCTTGTACTTTGTAAGTACCATTATATCCTTGCACTTTTCAATCCTAATTGATTTTCCTGCTCCTAGGCAATTGCCTTTCATATCCTTTAGAAAAAGCATTCCCTGAGCACCACTTTTATCTTTCATCAACAGTCAATCTTCAACAAATATTTATCAGGCATCCATTCTGCTGAGAAAAGGGAATCCAGTAGTGAGCAAGACAGACTTGGTTCTGCCCTATAGAGCCTACAGTGAAGTTTTCCTCTACCCCAAAGTGTTTCATTACTTCCTGTAGTGAGTTGAATTATGACCCCCAAAAGATATGTCTGCTTGGAACCTCAGAAGGTGACCTTATTTGGAATAAAGATCTTTGCAGATAAAATTAAGGTAAGGATCTTCGGGGGAGATCACCCTGGATTACAGTGGGCCCTGAATCCAGTGACAAGTCCTCATCAGAGAAGAGAAAATAAAACAGATAGAGAGATATATTAATACAAAGAAGATGATGTGAAGAGATTGTAGTAATGCACCTACAAGCCAAGGAAGACCAAGGATTGCCAACAGCCACCAGAAGCTAGGAAGGAGGGGAGGCCTGGAACAGATTCTTCCTCAGAGCTTCCAGAAGGAACCAACCCTGCCAGTGCCCTGATTTTGGACTTCTGACCTCCAGAATTGTGAGAGAATAAATTTCTGTTGTTTTAAGTCACCAAATTTGTGGGACTTCATTACAGCAGGCCTAGGAAACTAAAACACTTCTTGTCTTAGTCTGTTCAGGCTGTTGTAACAAAATACCATAGACTAGGTGGCTTATAAACAACAGAAATTTATTTATTACCATTCTGGAGACTGGGAAATCCAACATCAATGCATTGGCAGATTCAGTGTCTGGCAAGGGCCTATTTTCTGGTTCATAGATGATGACTTCTCACTGCATCTTTTATAAGGGTACTAATCCCATTCATGAAGCCTCCATTCTCACAATCTCATCACCCCTCAAAGGCTCCAACTTCTAATATCATCACATTGGTGATTACGTTTCAACATATCAATTTAGGGGAGACACAAACATTAAAACCAAACCATTTCCTTTATTCACTTTAAAAACATAAACCCTTTTATCTCATTTTTGTATAGCAGTCAAGAGAACAGGTTATTTAGGCAGACTGTCTGGGTTATAATTCTATCTTTGCCAATCACTATGGCATTTGGGTCAAATGCCATAAACCTCTGTGCCTCAGTTTCCTCATCTGTTAGATGGAAATCACAATGATATTGATGTCATAGCATTACTGTGAGGAATTTAAAAGCACTTAGAGAAGTTGCTGGAATGTAGTGATTAATAATTATTTTACTACTATTTTACTAATTTTCATTATTGTTAAAGGCTTACAGAATATTTCACAACCAGTCCAAACAGAAATGTTTTTTCTAATTGCTCACTTACCGTAAGACTTTATATCTCTACTATTTTTAATCACATATAGCCTTGTGATTGTATTTAACTTTACACATCGATGTATAGATCCATAAATATTTACTGAGAAACTGCTAAGTTCAAGGTATTTTGCTAGTCATTTTGGGAAACTTGAGCTAGAAATTATTTTTTTAAAGAAGCAAAAATTCTTTAGCAGCAAATGAACTTATTCATGCTCTCAAAAACTACTGTTCGAGCACTCACATGTGCCCGGCACTGTCCTGTGCACTGAGGATTCAGGAGTGAACAAAGCAGACACAAATCCCTGCCTCCATGGAGCCTCCATTCAACTGGGGGCGATGGAAAATAAACAGACAAATATGTTGGAGGTTGGGCTGGTGGGAGGTATTTGGATCATAGAGGCAGATCCCTCATGAATGGCTTAATGTCATCCCTAAAGTAATGAGTGATTTCTCACTTGATGAGTTCAGATGAGATCTGGTTGTTTAAAAGAGTGTAGCTTCTTCCCCCTTCTTGTTCCCTTCTGTTGCTTCCTGTCTCACCATGTGACACCCACTCCCCCTTCACCTTCTGCTATGATTTTAAGCTTCCTGAGGCCCTCACCAGAAGTGGACGCTGGCACAACACTTGCTGTACAGCCTGCAGAACCCTCAGCCAAAATAAACCTCTTTTCTTTATAAATTACCCATCCTCAGGTATTCTTTATAATTATAGTGATACAAGTGGACTAATACGCTATGGTAAAAAGTTTAGTGGGGCATTGAATCTCTTAATCCAGGGTAAAATTAGAAGATAATCTTCCAATTCTGAAGACTAAAAGATCTCTAGAAATTATGATTTCAGAACAAAATATAATTATTGTAAATATTACAACATTTAACAACATAAAAATAACATGTCACCAAAATTGGGAGGTATGGAAAGGTGAGTTGGAAAAAAGCCTTAGTGTACAGACTTCTTTAACAGCAGGAAATCAATTAATAGTATCTAAAAGTGAAACACATAGCCAATAAAAGATACAATGACTGCAGCCTCTTCACATTGTTATAATTATTATTCTTATCCTTACAGAGGTATGTTATTAACTAATATCTCTTGTGGTAAAGGAACAATTATCTAAAGTTCAGCAACTACTCAGTTTCAGTTTTTTCTTTGATAATTTCAAAAAATACATTTAATACCTAGAAAAAATAATACTGTATTGATTTCTCATTGCCGCTATAACAAATAATCACAAACTTAGTGGCTTAAGCAATGCAAATGGACTCTCTTACAGCTCTGGAGATTAAAAGTCCAAGATTGGTCTCACTGGGCTAAAATCAAGATGTCACTGGCCTGCATTCCTTCTGGAGGCTCTAGTGACCTTGCTGTTTCCAGCTCATAGAGCTCCTGCATTCCTGGTTTGTGCCCTCCTTTCTCTATTTTCAAAGCTAGCAACACTGGACCAAGCCCTTCTGATGCTGCCATCTCTCTGGTTCTCCCTCTTCTGTGCTGTGCCCTCTTCTATTTTTAAGGACTCTTATAATTATATTGGGCCCACCCAGGTAATCCAGGATGATCTCCCTATTTTAAAGGCAGCTAATTAACAATCTTAATTCTATCAATCTTAACTCTGCTTTGCCATGTAAGATAACATATTCAAAAACTCTGGGGATTAGGATGTGAACATTGTTTGGGGGTTATTATTCTGCCTACTACAAATACTCTGAATTCTGATAAAAAAAATACAATGTTTAAAAAGAGAGTTAAGGACAGTCTTTTCAACAAATGATATTAGGAAGACTGGATATCTCATGCAAAAGAATAAAGCTAGACCCTTACCTCATACCAAAAATTAAAATTAAAATAGATCAAAAACCTAAAACTATAAAAACACATAGAAGAAAGCTCATGACATTGGATATGACAGTAATTTATTGATATGACACCAAAAGTACCAGCAACAAAAGAAAACATAAACATGGATTTCATCAAAATGAGAAATTTTTATGTATCAAAGAACAGTATCAACATAGTAAAGTGGCAACCCACAGAACGGGAGAGAATATTTGCAAAGCACATATCCAATAAGGGATTAATATCCAGAATATATAAAGAACTCTTGAAAACAACAACAAATCAAACAGCCCAATTAAAAAATGGACAAAAGATTTGAATAGAAATTTCTCCAAAGAAGATATACAGATGGCCAATAAGCACATAAAATGATGCTCCATATCACTAATCACTAGGAAAATGCAGTTAAAAATCACAATGAGATACGACTTTACACCCATTAGAATGGCAACTATCAAAAAACAAAATAACAAATGTTGGCCAGCATGTGGTGAAATTGGAACCCTTATGCACTGCTGGTGGGAATGTTAAGATGAGGTAGCTGCTGTATAAAACAGTATGGTGATTCGTCAAAAAATTAAACATGGAATTACCATATTTTCCAGCAGTTCCACATGTGATTATATACCCTCCAAAATTGAAAGCAGGGTCTCAAAGAGATATTTGTATACCGATGTTCACAGCAGCACTATTCACCATAGCCAAAAGGTGAAAACAACTCAAATGTCCATTGATGGATGAATGGATAAACAAAGTATAACATACATACAATGGAATATTATTCAGCCTTGAAAAGGAAGAAAATTCTGATACATGCCACCATGTAATGAACCTTGAAGACATTATGCTACATGCAATAAGCCAGACACAAGGGGACAAATATTGCATAATTCTGCTTTAATGAGCTACGTATAGCAGCCAAAATCATAGAGACAGAAAGTAGAACTGTGGTTGTCAGGGTCTTGGGGGAAGGAAGTAATGGGGAGTTATTGTTTCATGGTACAGAGTTTCCATTTGGGAAGATAAAAAGTTCTGGACAGGGATGGTGGTGATGGTTGCACAACAGTGTGATGGTGTGGTAATCGGCTGGTGTCCCCAGCTACTGAATAAACTCTAGGTTAGCAGCTTTCAAACTTTTTGGCACCAGGACACCTTAACACGCTTAAAAATTGCTTGGGACACTGAAGAGCTTTTGTTTACATGGTTATATCTATAGATATATACCGTATTAGAAAGTAAAACAGAATTTAAAAATAGTCACTTAAAAATAACAGTAATAAATCTATACATATTAACATAAATTGCATACTTATCATGAAAGTTAACCATGTTTTCCAAAATAAAAAATTTGTTTAAAGAAATGGTGTTAGTTTACATTTTTACCTTTTTTTTAGCGACTAGCCTAAGAGAAGGCAGTGGTAGTCTCATATCTGCTTTGTATTTAGTCTATTGTGATATTACATGCCATATAGCCTTTGGAAAACTGTCTATTAATGATAGGACAAGAGTGAAAAAGGCAAATAACATATTGGTATTGTTAGAGTTTGGACTTCCTGAGTCTCAGAGACTTCCAGGGGTTCCTGGACCACTGTTTGAGAACTTCTATTCTAGGCATAAAATGACACTGCAAGAGCTAGCATTAAATATTACAGGATATCATGAATAATTTCTCCATTTGTTCTGCACTATTAAACAATTTTAATAAACTGGAAAAGGAATAATGAAGCAATAGGAATCCATTTCATAAATAGGGTATGTAAGGTAAAAGCCCTACTTTATTTGAATTTCATGGGTGTGAAATCATTAATAAACAGAATTAATGTTTTCAGTGTTATTGTAATGATCATAAAATTCTACATTCTTACTGAGATTATGCACTTTTATGCTTTAATAGATATCATTTTATGTGCTAAGTAGGTAGGTGCAAGATCTTGAAATTGTTGGGGGGCCTCCTATGGGGATAATTGTGTGATGAAGTACAATCATTTACTTAAATATTTCTCCCAAGAGTTTGAGAGTTTCTAAATGAATCAGCCAAATGCCTGGCTCCAGCATTCACTAGGCACAGCAGTTTTTCATCACTGAAGAATCTCAAATAAGATGCAATTGCCTGATAAATAATTTTGTGTTACTTGTCAACTTTTCAAAAAAATAGTCCTTGGAAAGCTGTAGTATCAGCAAATGCAATCAACACATTACAGCAAGTTGATTTGCAGGTTTATCGTCATGGAAATAAAACTTTCAGACACTGGGAGGTATGGTGACAGTGAAATGTTTTTCTGCCCCTAGTGGCATGGATTTCAGAGAATATCTTTAGATGGATTGCTCTATGTCAGCATTGACAAATTGCAAGTATAGTTTTATTTCAGTTTTCCCAGTTATATTCTTAAATGAATGTATTCCTTTTGTTGTTTAATTTTCTCTTGTAAAGATATATAGTTATTTTTAGTCGAATAGCTTATGAAAAATTAGGTGTATTTGACAAAGACACTTAATGTACAATTGGAATAAATGCAGTTCTAGTTGAATGTACAGCAATAGTATGATGGGCCCAAATTTATATTTCTATATATATGCACCTCTTCCATTGTCAAGATTTATTACATCCTAGAGAGTTTTCTAGGTGTTTTCAATAGGATCCTATAAATTCAGAACTTGGAGTCAGAAATGCATAATATTTCCTTACTTCAACATTGATAATGTTTCTCTTCCCCACTGTTCAAAATAGTCATTTTCATTTTTTGAGTGAAGCCACACAATATGTACACTATTTACATTGTTTTTATAAATTTATATTTTATAATTAAATAATTATCTCAACATTTTAACTGTGAACTTTGTGTTTTAAATTGAGTTTTAACAAATGATTAGGAGAAACTACAACATTTATTAAATACAAAATATATTTTCCCCTTTTATTTTTCTAAGAAACTGTCATCCTACCGATCATGCAACTGAATGCATCTTTTCAAGTTTGTTTTCTTATATAGGAAATATAAAGCAAGAAGTCTGCATGGTATAGTAAGAATCAAGAGATACAGAGTGAAAAGATCTGAGGTTGAATCTAGCCTTCCTACACTGGCTGTGTGATGTCAGACAAGTTCTGAAACTTTCCCAAGTTTCAACACTGTCATCTATAACATGGATTCTGAGGTACTATTACCAGGCTGCTCATGGTAATGAGCGTGGTAAGAACCTCCAGTTGCCCAACGCTGAGGAGCCCTCATCTCATCTCAAGTGCTGCATTTGCCTCCAGCTAGTCTCCTGCCCGCAACGAGTTCATTCTCTACATGCCTACCAAAGTGATCTTTTAAAAATGTAAAGCAGAGTTTGCCATTGCTTGCTTGAAACCTCTATTAGCTTTCTGTTGTGTGTAGGATATACAACAGAAAAACTTTCACGTGGCCTATAAGGCCCCTGCCTGCTTGCTCTTCCCCACCCCTCCTCCAACCTCACCCCATGCTACTACACTCCATCTCACTCCTGTTATGGTGACCAGCCATCCCAGTTTGCCTGAGATTTTCTTAGTTTAAGCACTGAAAACAAGAATGATTGCCCACTACACTCCTGATAGTCCAGCCATATTGTTCTCTGGGTGTGCCCACATCTTTCCCATCTTTGAAATGTCTGTTTGTCTTGGAAGCCACATCATATGCCCTCACCATGTACCTAGTTCATGCCTATCCATCCTTCAGGCCTCAGTTTAAAGGTCCTATTTGCAGAGAATCCTTCCCTGAGTCACAGATATAAATTAGATCTCATGTGTTATTCTTATATTAGCACCCGCAGGGCTACTGCATACAGTTGTGCCTGCTGTGTGCTGCACAACATCAGGGACCTCCATAGATGATGTGAAGGTGGTCCCCGGAGTTGTACCATGAGTTGATGCTGAAACAGTTCTTTTCCTTTATAGCACCTTTGTCAGTTGTGGTACATATAATGTCTACAAATTGTATATATAAAGAATATATATTTCAGAATATATATATATATATATATATATATAAAATTGAAGAAATTTTTATACACCCTATTGGTATGTAAGTTTCATAAGTGTAGGAGCTCTGTCAATTTTGATAATTTTTATACCCATTAACCAGTACAGTTAGTTATTTGTAAAATGCGTCCGATAAATACTTGCTTAATGAATGAATGGGAGCGTATTTTATGTGGGTTTGGTGACTATTATATGTGATAATATATTGAAAGTCCTTTGTAAGTTATTATTATTTATGATAAATATTAAATAGAATATGAAAAATGATTATTAGTACAATATCTAGGTTCTACTGTGATATAAAACTCTTAAATGTCTTTTCAAATACTCTATTAGCAGTCCTTAAGATTTTCCAGAGATATGCAATGATAAGCAGATCAATGGAGCAAAGTAAAGAATCCAGAACATTGCCTAAATATGAGTTTAGTATATACAAATGCATTGTTTTATTTAGTGAAGAAAGAAGACATATTTAAATAAGTAGTCTTGGAAAAATTGCCTGTTTGGAAAAAAAATAGATTCTTACTGTATAACACACACAAAAATAAATTTCAGTGAATTAAAAATTTAAATATTTAAGATATGAAACAAATAATAAAAGAAGATATTGAAGAATAACTTCATATTCTTGGAGTAAGGAATTTCTTTATAATTATGAAATAAACCCAGAAGTCATAAAAGACTTACAGAATTGCCTATTTAAAAATGCGAAATTTCTTTTTCCTTTTTCTTTTTTTTTTGAGACAGTGTCTCACTCTGCCACACAAGCTGGAGTAGAGTGGCATGATCTTGGCTCACTACAACCTCCACTTCCCTGGTTCAAGTGATTCTCCTGCCTCAGCCTCCTGAGTAGCTGGGACTACAGGTGGTGCCACCACGCTGGGCTAATTTTTGTATTTTTAGTAGAAATGGGGTTTCACCATATTGGCCAGGCTGGTCTCGAACTCTTGACCTTGTGATCCGCCCTCCCAAAGTGCTGGGATTACAGGTGTGAGGCACCATGCCTGGCCACAAAATTTCTTTTCTTTTCTTTTCTTTTTTTTTTTTTTTGCTGTTGCAAGATTTAATAGAGTGAAATAGAGTGAAAACAGAGCTCCCATACAAAGGGAGGGGACCCAAAAATGGTAGCCATTGCTGGCTCCAATGCCTGGGTTTATAACCCAATCATTGTCCCTCCCACTGTGTTCTCAGGCGATAGATGATTGGCTATTTCTTTACCTCCTGTTTTAGCCTAGTTACCATTTTAGTGAGCTCTCTTTCCTACCTGATTGGTCAGGTGTGAGCTAAGTTGCAAGCCCCGGGTTTAAAGGTAGAAGCAGTCACCTTCCCAGCTAGGCTTAGGGATTCTTAGTCAGCCTAGGAAATCCAGCTAGTCCTGTCTCTGAGTACCCCCTCTCAACAGGAAAACCCAAGTGCTGTTGGGGAGGATGGCCGATGACTGCTCTAACTGCTTCCTGCTGAATTGGGGCGTAGTGGGGGTTATGCAGTTGAGATTTCCTCTGGAGGGGTGCCTTCGATGTCATTAACATCGGAGCATGGGCTAGCAGGCCGGTCCAGGGGTCTGCGGTAGATCTTAGTCATGGACTGCGTCTGGGGCTCCATTTGAAGAACAATTTGTAGTTTTAGAGCTTCAATTCTGGAAGAGACAAACTTAACAAGGAGGTTAAAGATACAGGGATTGAAATGTATGGCCTGAAGTGCAGGGGATTATTTCTTTGGGACACTTCACAGGCCCTGACTATCTGCTTGATAGTTTTGAAAAGGCCTGGCCCAGTAAATAATAATTTGGCCATCTGATGGGTACTATCAATGCCTAAGTGGAAGGTTAGGTGAAGGGTTTTAAGTAATTTCTATTGGTTAGCTGCAGGCAAAATATTTTTCCTTCTCTGGTGGCTAGCCATCTGGAGGGGAGGGAAGTATGTCCTCGTGAGGTTCCCTATTCTATTTTTCCTGCTGAGTACTGGGACTTGGTTTCCCGGAGTGGATTACCCCATACTAGGGGTCCTTCTATAAGCATTTCTAATGGAGGGTCCTGCCTTGCAGCTCTTTTGACTTCAATATCTGCTTGGCGGTTCCCTTCTATTTCCCTTTCCTTTCCTTTCTGATGATGATGGCAGTGTAAGACTGCCACCTCTTCAGGTTTCTGTACAGCCAATAATAATCTCCTAATGGCTTCCTGATGTTTGATAGGTGTTCCCTCGAAATTAGGAATTCCCTTTCTCTCCATATTGCTGCATGGGCATGGAGGACTAGGTAAGCATACTTAGAGTCTGTATATATATTTACCCTTTTTTCCTTCTCCTAATTCTAGTGCCCGAGTGAGGGCTGTTAGTTTTGCCAGCTGAGCACTAGTTCCTGGAGTGAGGGGTTTACTTTCAAGTATTCCATTATCACTGACCACTGCATACCCTGCTTTTCAAAGTCCTTTTTCTACAAAGGAACTTCCATCAGTATACAAGCTGAGGTCGGGATCAGTCAAGGGACCCTCTAAAAGGTCCCTTCAAGTGGCATAGGTTTGAGCAATTACTTGTTGACAGTTACATTCTATCTTTTCTTCATTGTCTGGAAGAAATGTGGCTGGGTTAAGAGTTGCACAAGTGCGCAGTCACAGCACTGGACCTTCAAGTAATAGAGCCTGATATTTAAGTAAACAGTTGTCTGACAGCCACAAGTCTCCTTTAGCAGTGAGTATGCCATTCACATCATGAGATGTCCACACAGTAAGATCTCTTCCCTGTATCATTTTAACTTTTTCAGATACTAAGACTGCTACTGTCGCCAATACCCGTAAACAATGTGGCCAACTCTTTGCCACTACATCAGTTTCCTTACTCAGGTATGCCATGGGTTGCAAGCTCATCCCTCGGACCTGTGTAAGGACTCCTAGAGCTATTCCTGTTTTTTCTGTGACTTATAAAGAAAAGTCTTGTCCCGTTGGCAAGCTTAACGCTGGGGCTTGGGTTAGGGCCTTCTTTAGAGCCTGGAAAGCTGCTTCTGCCTCAGGTGTCCATCTTACTAAATGGGTATTGGCTTTCTGAGTTTCCTTAATTATATAATGTTCTGGCTATTTCGCCGTACCTGGGAATCCATATTCGGCAGAAACCTGTTATGCCAAGGAGCCCTTTTAGTTGCTTTAGGGTTTTGGGATGAGGACAAGCCAGTATAGGCTGGATACGTTCCTCACTGAGTGCCCTGGTGCCTTTGGATAATTTTGCCCCTACGTATTTAACCTGCTATGAGCAGAGCTGAGCCTTTGGTTTGGAAACCTTGTAGCCACAGGTAACGAGGAAATTTAGCCTTGCCGCAAAATTTCTATATAGCAAAAGACATAATAAAGATAAAAGACAAATGAGAAATAACAAATTAAGAAAACATTTGCAATTCTTACAATATATACAGGTTATAATGTATAAAATATATGTTCTACCTACCCCTTTAAATTAGGAAAAAAAGAAAACCCAACAGAAAAATGAGCAGAGGAAATTACCAATTTCATGAAGAATCTCACAAAAGGCTAATAAAAGGTGATTCAACCTTATTAAATAAATAAAAATAAAACTATAATATATCACAGTTTTGTAAAACTGGAAAGATTTACAAGACAGAATATACAATGTTAACAAAAGTGTGGGGGAAAACAGGACTTTTATACATTGTTGGTAAAATGCATAATAGTTTTGAAGAAATATTTTACAACTTTTTTAAAAATTAACATTTTTATTCAACAGTTTTTTAAAAAATATCATATGTAAAGAACTCTCTGGGTGTTGAGAATACAATGCTTTTTTTTTTTAAGTCCCTAACCTCTTGGAATATAACATTCTGGAGGAGAAGTTAGAAAATGAACAAAAAACTACAAATAGAAGTAAAATATAATATCTTATAAAACACAGTGGCATTCTACTTCTGATAATGTAGGCTGGGTAATGCCAGCAAGATTTCAGTAGATTAGACTAGACTAGTTTTCATAAAGCTTATATACCACTAAAGCAGAAATTAATGAACTGAAAGAAAGGTGAGAATACATTAGAATACTGAGAGTAAAAACAGGGAATTACAGAAGAAAGGGCAAAAGACCGGGGAAACACAGTGAGATCTAATATCACTTAACTGAAGTCTCAGAGAGAAACAGTATTTCAGGAAATAACAGGGGAAAATTTTCCAGAATTGATGGATATCATTCAATAGATTCAAGAGACTGAAGAATACCGAGTAACAAAATACAGAAATCTATAGCTTGATATATCATATTAAAACTTCAGACAACCAAAGATGTAGAGATTCTTGAAAGAATCCAGAGAAAAACCAATAAATTACTTTCAAACAAGTGACAAGGAAACTAATTGCTAATCTAAATAGCAATAAAGAAACGCATAAGTAATTGACATCTTCTGTGTACTGAAAGAAAGTAACTTCCAACCTGTAATTCATAGAGTAAATCAAGGTAATGAAAATTAAAGTCCACACTGAGATACCACTACGTACCACTCAGGACAAAAATGTAAAAGTTTGATAATACCAAGTGTTGTTAAGGATGTGGAACTACAAAGACAAATTATGCTTCCATTACTGGTGGGAGTATAAATTGATGCCTCTTCTTTGGAAAATAGCTCTTGGCATCTTCTAATAAAGATGCATACCCTATGACTCAATAATTTTACTCCTGGGTGTATTCCTTAGAAACATGTATGCTTATGTGTGAAACCAGCCCAACAGTCCTATAGACAATTGTTTTGGGATAAACATAGAAATTGACCCTTCTGCTCTTAAAGCTTGAAACTTGTCTTTGTTTTATCTGAGTTTCTTTCTCAGGAAAGGACTATCAGGCCTCTCAAAAAAGTATCAAAGAACCAAAACTCACCAGATGCCTCAAGCCCCCCTGTAGTTCTTGCTTTCTTACACATTGTTACATTTCTTCCCTGCTATATAAACCCTAGAGTTAGTGAGCCAGGGAGATGGAATTGAGGCTGAGCTCCCATCTTTTTGGCTGCAGCACCCGATTAAAGCCTTCTTCCTTGGTGTACTCATTGTCTCAGTGATTGGCTTTCTGTGCTGCGAGCAGCAGGACCTAGACCGAACCCCTGGTGTTTCGGTAACATGTGCACCAGGAGACATATACAAGAATGCAGTAATAGCCTCTAGAAACAATGAAATGCCTATTAATAGCATAACAAATAAATTATAGCATATTCATACAATGGGATGCTCTATAGCAATAAAAGTAAATGGACCTCAGCTCTCTGTAACAACATAGATAAATCTTGTAGACATGATATAACTAAAAGAAGCAAGATATGAAAGATTCCCTAAGATATAATTTCTTTTACATAACCATTAAACCAGATAAGCCAGAGTATATCATTTAGGAATTATATATATAACTATATATATATATACTTTCATATATATATATATATGAAACTATAAAGAAAAGCAAGGACGTGCTTACCATAAAAGTTAAAATATTGGTTATTTCTAGAGTGAAAAGCAGGCTTACAAATAGGAAGGGATGTGGAATATCGGAATGTCGGTGATGCATTTGGGCCACTGGTTAATTTTAAGTTTCTCGACCTATATAGTAGTTTTGCAAGTATTTGCTTTATATTTATTATATTGCACTTCTTTGGTATTGTTTGGGAGGTATCATTTTAGTAGAAACAAAGGAAATGAGAGAGCAAACTCTGTACATATCTAGGGGAAATGTTCTCTCTGACAGAAATGTGCCTCTCCTTTTACCCAGCATTTTCTTGTAGTAGTTTATCATCCAGAAATACCTCTACAAACTTTGCAAAGTTATGTGTTCACCACAACATTGAAGTGTGTAAGTAAATTTAGGTTGAGAGTTTATCATGAGTGGAGATTTTTCTCTGAGCAAATGCTAAACAGCAGGTTGTAGGAATGTCCCTCCAGTCATTTTTTTTTTTCTTTCTGGCAGGCATCCTGTATAACTACTCCAGACCAATTTAATGTTAATTTCTCATGAAATCCTACAGCACATGAGAAATGTAAATTCAGATTTTTATTTTATTTTATTTTATTTTGAGA
The DNA here is from genome assembly GCF_000001405.40 of Homo sapiens. Lineage (NCBI taxonomy): Eukaryota > Metazoa > Chordata > Mammalia > Primates > Hominidae > Homo > Homo sapiens. The sequence goes on from NC_000003.12 coordinate 131,201,857, forward strand.
CAGAGTCTCGTTCTGTCGCCCAGGCTGGAGCGCAGTGGCACAATCTCTGCTCGCTGCAATCTCTGCCTCACCGGATTCAAGCGATTCTCTGCCTCAGCCTCCTGAATAGCTGGGATTGTAGGTGTGCACAACCACACCTGGCTAATTTTTGTATTTTTAGTAGAGACGGGGTTTCACCATGTTAGCCAGGATGGTCTCGATCTCCTGACCTCATGATCCACCCACCTTGGACTCCCAAAGTGCTGGGATTAGTGTGAGCCAAGGGTCCATTCCAAGAGGGCGGAATAGGAACAGCTCTGGTTTGCAGGTCCCAGCATGATCAACGCAGAAGACAGGTGATTTCTGCATTTCCAACTGAGATGCCTGGTTCATCTCATTGGGACGGGCTGGACAGTGGGTGCAGCCCACGGAAGGCAAGCTGAAGCAGGGCAGGGCATCACCACACCTGGGAAGTGCATGGGGTCAGAGGATTTCCCTTTCCTAGCCAAGGGAAGCCCTGACAGACTGTACTGGGAAAATCGGGACACTGCCACCTAAACACTGCACTTTTACAATGGTCTTAGCAAACGGCACACCAGGAGATTATATCCAGCACCTGGCTCAGCAGGTCCCACGCCCATGGAGCCTTCCTCACTGCTAGTCCAAGATCAAACTGCGAGGTGGCAAGCCTGGCATCTAAGACACCAAAAGCAATAGCAACAAAAGCCAAAATAGACAAATGGGATCTAATTAAACTAAAGAGCTTCTGCACAGCAAAAGAAACTACCATCAGAGTGAACAGGCAACCTACAGAATGGGAGAAAATTTTTGCAATCTACCCATCTGACAAAGGGCTAATATCCAGAATCTACAAAGAACTTAAACAAATTTACGAGAAAAAAATCAAACAGCCCCCTCAAAAAGTGAGCAAAGGATATGAACAGACACTTCTCAAACGAAGACATTTGCGCAGCCAACAGACACATGAAAAAATGTTCATCATCACTGGCCATCAGAGAAATGCAAATCAAAACCACAATGAGATACTATTTCACACCAGTTAGAATGGCAATCATTAAAAAGTCAGGAAACAACAGGTGCTGGAGAGGATGTGGAGAAATAGGAATACTTTTACACTGTTGGTGGGAGTGTAAACTAGTTCAACCATTGTGGAAGGCAGTGTGGCGATTCTTCAGGGATCTAGAACTAGAAATACCATTTGACCCCGTGATCCCATTATTGGGTATATACCCAAAGGATTATACATCATGCTACTATAAAGACGCATGCACTTGTATGTTTATTGTGGCACTATTCACAATAGCAAACACTTGGAATCAACCCAAATGTCCATCAATGATAGACTGGATTAAGAAAATGTGGCACATATACACCATGGAATACTATGCAGCCATAAAAAATGATGAGTTCATGTCCTTTGTAGGGACATGGATGAAGCTGGAAACCATCATTCTCAGCAAACTATCGCAAGGACAAAAAACCAAACACCGCATGTTCTCACTCATAGATGGGAATTGAACAATGAGAACACATGGACACAGGAAGGGGAACATCACACACTGGGGCCTGTTGTGGGGTGAGGGGAGGGGGGAGGGATAGCATTAGGAGATATACCTAATGTTAAATGACAAGTTAATGGGTGCAGCACACCAACATGGCATATGTATACATATGTAACAAACCTGCACTTTGTGCACATGTACCCTAAAACTTAAAGTATAATAAAAAAAAAAAAGAAACTTGGCTTCAGCTCCGCTGAAACAAAAATTTTCAAAACGGTGATATTGTGATACACACACACACACACATATATAAAGTACACATAAAGTTCATATATATATGTATATATGTATATATGTATATTTGTATATTATATATGTGTATATATATATGTGTGTGTGTGTGTGTGTGTATATATATATATATATATATATATATATATATATATATATATATATATATATATATATAAAGTTTTCACCCATGGTTCCTAGCTCATAACTTCCATAGCCCTTGTTTCAGTAAACAGAATCTCTTTCTCTGACCTTCCCCTGCCCTCCTTTCTCTCACCTACAATAGAACTCTAATCTGATTGTGAGTCATAAGACCTTCATTCTAGAGAGGGTCCTGTTTCATTCCCTGGAGAAAGAGATGCTGCATAGAGAGGCCAAATGGAATCTGAACAAAGAGGCTTTGCTAGGTTTAGATCTTACTCTTTTTGTCCAATCACATTTTGACACAGTTATCCATGCTTTGACCATGCCTATGCAATGAAGTCTCCAAAAAACCCAAAAGGATGGAGTTTGCCCAGATTCTGGATGGCTGAACACATGGAGGGTCCTAGAGGGTGGCACACCCAGGAAGGGCATGGATGCTCCATGCCACTTCCTCCATGCCTTACCCTATGCATTTCTTTATCTGTATCCTATGTCATATCCTGTATAATAAACCAGTAAACATCAGTGTTTCCCTGAGTTCTGTGAGTCACCCTAGCAAATTAATCAAACCCAAGGAGGGGGCTGTGAGAAGCTGATTTATAGCCAGTTGATCAGAAGGCCTGGATTTGTGACTGGTGTTTGAAGTGGGGCAGTCTTGGGGACTGAGCTCTCAACCTGTGAGATCTGACACCATCTCCAGTGTCATAGATAGATATTGTAGATAGTCAGAATTGAATTAGGGAACACCCAGCTGGTGTCCATTGCAGTAGTAATTGCTTGTTTGTTTGTGGGAAAAACACCCACACATTTGGTCACAGGTGTCTTCTGTATTGATTGTTTTCTTGGTGGGACAGCAGAGGAAAAATGGTTTGAGGTTTTTTTTTTTAAATAAATAGTACTACAATGCAAATGTACAACACATCTATTTCTCCCTACTCATTAAATAGGCCAAAATTAATTTTCTAGTGGAAGGACTTAGCATTGCTGTTTATGAAAATAATTTGATGCAAATCAGTAGGCATGCCTTGGGCTTTTTCATTGTTTGCAGCATGAGGACCGTCAAAGTGCTCTGAGAGAATCAGAAGCAGAATATTGATGGGGAGAGGGCATTGAACCTTGTGACTTCAAGATTTTCTCCATTGAGGGTGCTAATTTTTTGGGAAAGTGATCAGCTAAACATGAGTTATAGTTCAATAGACACCATGGCTGAGCAATTTAAGATGATATATAAAAGGCCCAGTCCAGATCAGGAGGCCAAGTGGACTGGCGATAGGGATGAAGGTAAGACTCACCATCCTTAGGAAACTAACCTCTGTATGGCAAGATGCTGGAGCTGGGTGGGCTTGGTGCAAAGTGAACTAAAGATTCACTTGGTTTTGGAATTTGGGTTTGGTAAAAGCAAAATCACAAATGGATAGGGCTAGATCAAATTGAAATTTAAATGGTAAATAAGAAATGAAAGTGTTGGTCCAAAGTGTTGACAGCCAACAAGTGTTGGAATGCACTTTTGAATCCAGAACAGGTAACCACCTTGGCTTTCATTACTCATTCTCAGTGGAGGCATGTAGCAGGAGGGTGTCTGATTAGAGGAACCACAAACAGGTAGAGCTGGAGAAAGCAGAATAGGAATCAAGTGTCAGGAAAAAAGGCTCCAGTATAGCAGTTGCTATCAGGTTGTTCATACCCTGTTTGATCCCTTTACCATTTCCTTGTGCTTTGTGTCCCAGCTGTGTCTCTTTTTGTGGGGGCTACTCTCAAGCTGCCAGAGCTCCGTCTGTCTATACTCAGACAGCCAGAAGGGCCTGGGAATATATACCTCTCTCCCACACCCCCAGCCCTCAAGAGGCAGACTTTTCAAAATGACTAATGTATGGAAGAGCATAAACACTCCAGTACCTCCCTGTTAATTGTCTCTAGAGCTCTGGGGGATTAAGCCAAAGTTAGGCCTTGTGGACCTCTACTTGATACTGCCTTTCTGATAAATAACTTTTACAAAAATTCTCATCTCAAGAGTCTTTTTCTGGGGAATTCAGCCTAAGACACCTAGCTTTTCAAAAATTTGGAAGTAATTCCTAGCTGTTTTATGAGATCTGGGGGAGTTTTCTTATCAGTTTTTCCTGAATTAGGCTTTAAACATTTTTTAAAGAATATTGATGATTTTATTGATGTGTTGTCTGTGTCACAGGATAACCATGGAATCACTGCGTATAAGTAAGGAAAATGATTTTAATGAATCTCTGAGCCCCTTAGTGCTGACACTTTCTCTATGGTTACAGTATAACACAGAGCACCCACATTCACCAAAAGAAGCCTTGTACAGGCACCACACCGTAACGTGACCTGGTTACCTGGTTCTGTCCATGGTGGGCATCAGTGTCTTCACCCAAATAGTCAGGCTCTCCAGATAGGTTTGAAAACTTCAGACAAAGTGAAGATGACAATGATTTTCTGAGAATGACTGAGGAGAACTCTACCAGAAAATTGTAGACAGTTTACCATGAATACTTAGAGATAAAGAGCTTTTCCAGATAGGCTGTAAGATATAGTAGTTGCAAGTTTCTATTTGTTAAGAAACTGTTTTTATTTTTAAACTTAACAAAGGTTTAATAGCTTTAACATTTAAAAAATTTATGCACAAATACCTTGGTCCTAAGCCAAATATTAACAAGTCACAGAGCAAAAAGTAAAACAGCTAATAAAAATATTAGAATCGTTAGGGTTCACTCTTAATTTTTAAAATTCAATTAAAATGAATACAATAACACATTTATCTATCACACAAGCAAAAATTAAAGTAAGAAACAATAAAAATATGCATCACTAGAGGGCTAACATTACAGGTACTGCATCATTCCCTTAACATGCATTGTTTTATTTATTTATTTTTTTATTATACTTTAAGTTCTAGGGTACATGTGCACAACGTGCAGGTTTGTTACATATGTATACATGTGCCATGTTGGTGTGCTGCACCCATTAAGCTGCACCCATTAAGTCATCATTTATATTAGGTATTTCTCCTAATGCTATCCCTCCCCCATCCCCTCACCCCACGACAGGCCCCACCCTGTGTCTAAGTGTTCTCATTGTTCAATTCCCACCTATGAGTGAGAACATGTGGTGGTTGGTTTTCTGTCCTTGTGATAGTTTGCTGGGAATGATGGTTTCCAGCTTCATCCATGTCCCTACAAAGGACATGAACTCATCATTTTTTATGGCTGCATAGTATTCCATGGTGTATATGTGCCACATTTTCTTAATCCAGTCTATCATTGATGGACATTTGGGTTGGTTCCAAGTCTTTGCTATTGTGAATAGTGCCACAATAAACATATGCGCACATGTGTCTTAATAGTAGCACGATTTATAATCCTTTGAGTATATACCCAGTAATGGGATGGCTGGGTCAAATGGTATTTCTAGTTCTAGATCCTTGAGGAATCGCCACACTGTCTTCCACAATGGTTGAACTAGTTTACAGTCCCACCAACAGTGTAAAAGTGTTCCTGGCTGGGCACGGTGGCCCATGCCTGTAATCCCAGCACTTTGGGAGGCTGAGGCGGGTGGATCACGAGGTCAGGAGATCGAGACCATCCTGGCTAACACGGTGAAACGCTATCTCTACTAAAAATACAAAAAATTAGCTGGGCGCGGTGGCAGGCACCTGTAGTCCCAGCTACTCGGGAGGCTGAGGCAGGAGAATGGCATGAACCCAGGAGGCTGAGCTTGCAGTGAGCCGAGCCTGGGTGCACTCCAGCCTGGGTGAAAGAGTGAGACTCTATCTCAAGAAAAAAAAAAAGTGTTCCTATTTCTCCACATCCTCTCCAGTACCTGTTGTTTCCTGACTTTTTAATGATCAACATTCTAACTGGTGTGAGATGGTATTTCATTGTGGTTTTGATTTGCATTTCTCTGATGGCCAGTGATGATGAGCATTTTTTCATGTGACTGTTGGCTGCATAAATGTCTTCTTTTGAGAAGTGTCTGTTCATATCCTTTGCCCACATTTGATGGGGTTGTTTGATTTTTTCTTGTAAATTTGTTTAAGTTCTTTGTAGATTCTGTATATTAGCCCTTTGTCAGATGGGTAGATTGCAAAAATTTTCTCCCATTCTGTAGGTTGCCTGTTCACTCTGATCGTGGTTTCTTTTGCTGTGCAGAAGCTCTTTAGTTTAATTCGATCCCATTTGTCTATTTTGGCTTTTATTGCCATTGCTTTTGGTGTTTTAGTTATGAAGTCCTTGCCCATGCCTATGTCCTGAATGGTAATGCCTAGGTTTTCTTCTAGGGTTTTTATGGTTTTAGGTCTAACATTTAGGTCTTTAATCCATCTTGCATTAATTTTTGTACAAGGTGTAAGGAAGGGATCCAGTTTCAGCTTTCTACATATGGCTAGCCAGTTTTCCCAGCACCATTTATTAAATAGGGAATCCTTTCCCCATTTCTTGTTTTTGTCAGGTTTGTCAAAGATCAGATGATTGTAGATGTGTTATTATTTCTGAGGGCTCTGTTCTGTTCCAATGATCTATATCTCTGTTTTGGTGCCAGTACCATGCTGTTTTGGTTACTGTAGCCTTGTATTATAGTTTGAAATCTGGTAGCATGATGCCTCCAGCTTTGTTCTTTTGGCTTAGGATTGTCTTAGCAATGTGGGCTCTTTTTTGGTTCCATATGAACTTTAAAATAGTTTTTTCCAATTCTGTGAAGAAAGTCATTGGTAGCTTGATGGGGATGGCATTGAATCTATAAATTACCTTGGGCAGTATGGACATTTTCACGATATTGATTCTTCCTATCCATGAGCATGGAATGTTCTTCCATTTGTTTGTGTCCTCTTTTATTTCGTGGAGCAGTGGTTTGTAGTTCTCCATGAAGAGGTCCTACACATCCCTTGTAAGTTGGATTCCTAGGTATTTTATTCTCTTTGAAGCAATTGTGAATGGGAGTTCACTCATGATTTGGCTCTCTGTTTGTCTGTTATTGGTGTATAAGAATGCTTGTGATTTTTGCACATTGATTTTCTATCCTGAGACTTTGCTGAAGTTGCTTATCAGTTTAAGGAGATTTTGGGCTGAGACGATGGGGTTTTCTAAGTATACAATCATGTCGTCTGCAAACAGGGACAATTTGACTTCCTCTTTTCCTAATTGAATACCCTTTATTTCTTTCTGTTGCCTGATTGCCCTGGCCAGAACTTCCAACACTATGTTGAATAGGAGTGGTGAGAGAAGGCATCCCTGTCTTGTGCCAGTTTTCAAAGGGAATGCTTTCAGTTTTTGCCCATTCAGTATGATATTGGCTGTGGGTTTGTCATAAATAGCTCTTATTATTTTGAGCTACGTCCCATCAATACCTAGCTTATTGAGAGTTTTTAGCATGAAGGGCTGTTGAACTTTCTTGAAGGCTTTTTCTGCATCCGTTGATGCAGAAAAGAGATAATCATGTGGTTTTTGTCTTTGGTTCTGTTTATATGATGGATTATGTTTATTGATTTGCATATGTTGAACCAGCCTTGCATCCCAGGGATGAAGCCAACGTGACCGTGGTGGATAAGCTTTTTTGATGTGCTGCTGGATTTGGTTTGCCGGTATTTTATTGAGGATTTTTGTATTGATGTTCATCAGGAATATTGGTCTAAAATTCTCTTTTTTTGTTGTGTTTCTGCCAGACTTTGGTATCAGGATGATGTTGGCCTTGTAAAATGAGTTAGGGAGGATTCCCTCTTTTTCTATTGATCTATTGATTGGAATAGTTTCAGAAGGAATGGTACCAGCTCCTCTTTGTACCTCTGGTAGAATTTGGCTGTGAATCCATCTGGTCCTGGACTTTTTTGGTTGGTAGGCTATTAACTGTTGCCTCAATTTCAGGGTCTGTTATTGATCTATTCAGGGATTCAACTTCTTCCTGGTTTAGTCTTGGGAGGGTGTAAATGTACAGGAATTTATCTATTTCTTTTATATTCTCTAGTTTATTTGCATAGAGGTGTTTATAGTATCCTCTGATGGTAGTTTGTATTTCTGTGGGATTGGTGGTGATATCCCCTTTATCATTTTTTATTGTGTCTATTTGATTCTTCTCTCTTTTCTTCTTTGTTAGTCTTGCTAGCATCTATCTATTTTGTTGATCTCTTCAAAAAACCAGCTCTTGGATTCATTGATTTTTTGAAGGTTTTTTTGTGTCTCTAGCTCCTTCAGATCTGCTCTGATCTTAGTTATTTCTTGCCTTCTGCTAGCTTTTGAATGTATTTGCTCTTGTTTCTCTAGTTCTTTTAATTGTGATGTTAAGGTGTCAATTTTAGATCTTTCCTGCTTTCTCCTGTGGGCATTTAGTGCTTTAAATTTCCCTCTACACACTGCTTTAAATGTGTCCCAGAGATTCTGGTATGTTGTGTCTTTGTTCTCATTGGTTTCAAAGAACATCTTTATTTCTGCCTTCATTTTGTTATTTACCCAGGAGCAGGTTGTTCGGTTTCCATGTAGTTGTGTGGTTTTGAGTGAGTTTCTTAATCCTGAGTTCTAGTTTGATTGCACTGTGGTCTGAGAGACAGTTTGTTATAATTTCTGTTCTTTTACGTTTGCTGAGGAGTGCTTTACTTCCAACTATGTGGTCAATTTTGGAGTAAGTGCAACGTGGTGCTGAGAAGAATGTATATTCTGTTGATTTGGGGTGGAGAGTTCTGTAGATGTCTATTAGGTCTGCTTGGTGCAGAGCTGAGTTCAATTCCTGGATATCCTTGTTAACTTTCTGTCTCATTGTTCTGCCTAATGTTGACAGTGGGGTGTTAAAGTCTCCCATTATTATTGTGTGGGAGTCTAAGTCTCTTTGTAGGTCTCTAAGGACTTGCTTTATTAATCTGGGTTCTCCTGTATTGGGTGTATATATATTTAGGATAGTTAGCTCTTCTTATTGAATTGATCCATTTACCATTATGTAATGGCCTTCTTTGTCTCTTTTGATCTTTGTTGGTTTAAAGTCTGTTTTATCAGAAACTAAGATTGCAATCGCTGCTTTTTTTTGTTTTCCATTTGCTTAGTAGATCTTCCTCCATCCCTTTATTTTGAGCCTATGTGTGTCTCTGAATGTGAAATGGGTCCCCTGAATACAGCACACTGATGGGTCTTGACTCTTTATCCAATTTGCCAGTCTGTGTCTTTTAATTGGGGCATTTAGCCCATTTACATTTAAGATTAATATTGTTATGTGTGAATTTGATCCTGTCATTATGATGTTAGCTGGTTATTTTGCCCACTAGTTGATGCAGTTTCTTCCTAGCATTGATGGTCTTTACAATTTGGCATGTTTTTGCAGTGGATGGTACCAGTTTTCCTTTCCATGTTTAGTGCTTCCTTCAGGAGCTCTTGTAAGGCAGGCCTGGTAGTGACAAAATCTCTCAGCATTTGCTTGTCTGTAAAGTATTTTATTTCTCCTTCATTAGTGAAGCTTAGTTTGGCTGGATATGAAATTCTAGGTTGAACATTCTTTAAGAATGTTGAATATTGACCCCCACTCTCTTCTGGCTTGTAGAGTTTCTGCTGAGAGATCTGCTGTTAGTCTGATGGGCTTCCCTTTGTGGGTAACCCAACCTTTCTCTCTGGCTGCCCTTAACATTTTTTCCTTCATTTCAACTTTGGTGAATCTGACAATTATGTGTCTTGGGGTTGCTCTTCTTGAGGAGTATCTTTGTGGTGTTCTCTGTATTTCTTTAATTTGAATGTTGGCCTGCCTTGCTAGGTTGGGGAAGTTCTTCTGGATAATATCCTGCAGAGTGTTTTCCAACTTGGTTCCATTCTCCCCGTCACTTTCAGTTACACCAATCAAACATAGATTTGGTCTTTTCACATAGTCCCATGTTTCTTGGAGGCTTTGTTCATTTCTTTTTACTCTTCTTTCTCTAAACTTCTCTTCTTGCTTCATTTCACTCATTTAATCTTCAACCACTGATACCCTCTCTTCCACTTGATGGAATCGGCTACTGAAGCTTGTGCATGCGTCACGTAGTTCTTGTGCCATGGTTTTCATCTCCCTCAGGCCGTTTAATGTCTTCTCTACACTGTTTATTCTAGTTATCCATTCTTCTAATCTTTTTTCAAGGCTTTTAGCTTCCTGGGTTCGAACATCCTCCTTTAGCTTGGAGAAGTTTCTTATTACCGATCTTCTGAAGCCTACTTCTGTCAATTCGTCAAAGTCATTCTCCTTCCAGCTTTGTTCAGTTGCTGGCGAGGAGATGCGATCCTTTGGAGGAGAAGAGGCGCTCTGGTTTTTAGAATTATCAGACTTTCTTCTCTCGTTTCTCCCCATCTTTGTGGTTTTATCTACCTTTGATCTTTGATGATGGTGACCTACAGATGCGGTTTTGGTGTGCATGTCCTTTTTGTTGATGTTGATGCTATTTCTTTCTGTTTGTTAGTTTTCCTTCTAACAACCAGGACCCTCAGCTGCAGGTCTGTTGGAGTTTGCTGGAGGTCCACTCCAGACCCTGTTTCCCTGGGTATCACCAGCGGAGGCTGCAGAACAGCAAATATTGCAGAACAGCAAATATTGCTGCCTGATCCTTCCTCTGGAAGCTTCGTCTCAGAGGGGCACCCGGCTGTATGACGTGTCAGTCGGCCCCTGCTGGGATGTGTCTCCCAGTTAGGCTGCTCGGGGGTCAGGGACCCACTTGAGGAGGCAGTCTGTCCATTCTCAGATCTCAAACTCCGTGCTTGGAGAACCACTGCTGTCTTCAAAGCTCAGTTGGAAATGCAGAATCACCCATCTTCTGCATCACTCGCGCTGGGAGCTGTAGACTGGAACTGTTTCTATTAGGCCATCTTTGTTAAGAAACTGTTAATTACCCTTGCCAAAAAGTCAACATCTAAATGTCAAGATGTTTCTTAGTACTAGAAGAGGCCTGGAATTCTACTGTTAGGGACTTTTGCAGCCTGCATGGAAGATCTGAGTTCTGTTTGGCAACTTTATTCTCTGTCAGATTTCAAGTTGCAAAATAATTCTCCTGTTAGATCCTGTGATAGTTAATTTTATATGTCTATTTGGCTAGGCCATGGTAGTTTGGTCCATCACCAGTCTAGATGTTGCTGTGAAGGTGTTTTTAAGATGCAATTAATATTTTTATATCAGTAGACTTTGAGTAAAGCAGATTACTCTTGATAATGTCATAATGTGAGTGGGCCTCATCCAATCAGTTGAAAGCTTTAAGAGAAGAAGACTGATCTTCCCCAAAGAAGAAGGAATTCTGTCTCCAGGCTTCCTTTGGACTTAAGGTTGCAACATTAACTCTTTTCTGAGTGTCCAGCCTGTTGCCCTACCCTCATGGCCTACCTTGCAGATTTTGGACTTGCCAGCCCCCATAATTGCGTGAATGTGAACCAACTCCTTAAACCCCCCATGCCACCCATCTCCACACACACACACACACACACACATCCCATCTTGCTGTGTTAAGTTTGCCTCTTCACATTGGTGAGCCGAGAATGTCTTTAGGCCAGCAAGCATGTTCTAGCAGTTTCCTGACTGCCTCCAGATGGCCGGTTAACAGAAGGGTGCTGCCAATGGGAGACAAATGTTTTCCAGGAGACCAGAGGTGGAAAAGAGAAATTATGATGTTAGGATTTTATTGAAGAGAAACTCTCATTTGGCTTACAAGGTGTTCTGTCTGCCAGCAATTATACAAGTTGCTAAGTGCATTCCAATGTACATGACAGAAACTTTGTTAATGAGAAAATACAACGAGAAAAAAGTAAAAGAGAGGAGGGAGAGGCCGCCTATGGTAGTAATTTAAATCCTTCAGCTGTGGTGGTCTTAGTTAGAATCTTACTTTTTGGCAAATATTTGGTGGCCAGGAACAGAAATCAGTGGTCTATTCTTTTACTACTCTAAGTGTGGTTTGTGGACTAGCAGCATCTCCATCACCTCGAAGCATGTCAGAAATGCAGAATCTCAGGCCCTACTCCAGTCCTGCCAATCTGAACCCAGAGTTCATCAAGTTCCCCAGATGATTCATGTGCACACTGGTTGTAATGCAGTACATGTTTTTGTCCCCCCAGATTCATCATATTGAAACCCTAATCCCCAGTGGGATGATATTTCGAGATGAGGCCTTTAGGAGGTGATTTGGTCATGAGGGTAGAGCCCACAGGATGGGATTAGTTCCGTTGTAAGTAGAGACATGAGAAAGCTGGCTTCCTGTCTCTATGTTTCCATGCTCCTCCACCATATGAGGATACAAGAAGAGGACAGCAGTCTGCAAATCAGGAAGGGAGCCTTCAACCAGACACTGAATCTGCCAGCACCTTGACCTTAGACTTCCCAGCCTTCAAAACTGTGAGAAATAAATTTCTGTTGTTTAAGCCACCTAGTCTATAGTATTCTGTTACAGAAGCCCAAACTAACTAAGATATTGGTCTAGTTTATTACTCCTTGTCGTAAATTTGTAAGTCTTAATGCAGAAAAGTAACCTGAAATCATTCAGTTCAGGCTCTGGTTTTAAGGTTGGTGAGTTATCACCATCCCATTCTACACGTAAGACACCTAAGGCCTGGGAGCTTAAACCAGTTGCCTAAAGTCATAGAACGAGTTGTCTTCTGCCTCCAAACACAGCACATCCCACTATGTACCAAATTTTTCAGAGTCTCTGTGAAGTCTTTCTACATTTCTCCTTGACAGAATGAATTTCCTGGCCTGAATTCATTTCTCTGAATTTGGGGGAGAAAAGACAAATGTTACCTTGTCATTTTCGCTTTTACTCTCTAAAGCAGGAAAGAAAAGTTTCAGGGAAACATTACAGTTTTTCCTGAGGGAAAATCATCTTGACATATAGGATAAAAGTGCAGACTCTAGAGCTTGAGGGAGACCTATTTCCAAAAGGATCATGGAGCTTATTTCTGTCACGTGAATGTGCGTGCATGTGTGTGTGTGTGTGTGTGTGTGTGTGTAGCAGGGAGTGGAGAGCTTTTAGTACACTCAGTCAAATATAGAGATGTCACTTAGAGAGGCACTTACAGCAGAACCTGCTGTCCTATATATAAAAAACAGTACTGTACTGTACTTAATTTAGCCCTCCAGAAAGGGTCATGAATATGCATTTTGTCTAAGAAAATTATTTCTTTTCACAACCTCATGTGTGATGCTGTAGGCTAAGCTAATCAATGTAGTTAAATTTAGCCCTGGTTTTGAAAGTTTGTTTTAGAAAAGGTCACGGTACTAACCCTGTAGTTTATTGTGTGAGGAAAGAAAGCATCATGGCAAACCAAGCAACTGATGTGCACCCCCATCCTAAGAATATAAACATATTGTTTGTATTTGAGGTTCAGTTCCACTTGCAGTTAGTGATATTATTCTCAAAGTTGACTTGATTCCTGCTGTGCTGTGAAATATACAAGGACAAAAAACCAAACACCGCATGTTCTCACTCATAGGTGGGAATTGAACAATGAGAACACTTGGTCACAGGAAGGGGAACATCACACACCGGGGCCTGTTGTGGGGCGGGGGGAGGGGGAAGGGATAGCATTAGGAGATATACCTAATGTAAATGACGAGTTAATGGGTGCAGCACACCAACATGGCACACGTATACATATGTAACAGACCTGCACGTTGTGCACATGTACCCTAGAACTTAAAGTATAACAAAAAAATATATAAAAAAAAAAGAAAAGAAAGATATTGTCTACCATGGGGGTGTGGGAGGTCTGTGAGCTTGCCTTTCTCTGGGCAAGGGGGTTGCCCAGAAGGCTGGGGTTGGGCATTTATTCAACCTGTGCATGTAGATATGGTGTAAAAGAAGGCAGAAAAGGGCATCTTACAGATGAGAAGATTTGATTGGATACATCCTTTGATATGGCACTCAGTTACATGAAGAGGCTTAGGGCTGGGGTGCGATGGAGACACTACCTCTCCCCTGCTACATCCACAACTGTGAGAGCTGGAGCACTTTCAAGGGCCAGGAGATTCTGCCTTCTCTTTGCAGAGGTGGGGATTGGTGATGGTAGATGGTGTGCTGGCCAGGAGAGGAACTGAGGATCAGAGAGGTAAAGTGACTCACATCCCAGAGCTTCAAAGAAATCTGGCCAAACTGAAAGCGGAGGCTGTGCCCCTCTATTTAGAGAGGTGACAGCCTAGAACAGTGCTGTCCAGTAGAATTTTCTGCAGTGTTGGAAATATTCTATAATTTTGTCACAGGTGACTATTGAGCACTTGAAAAGTAGCTAGTGCAACTGAATTTGTCATTTTATTTAATTTTAATAATTTTAATTCAAATAGCCACAAGTGGCTAGTGTCTACCATATTAGGTCAATTCTAAAAGAAGTGGTACTTTAAAGAGATGAAGTGGGAAAGCAAGAGTGAATTCAGGGAAAAATACAGAGTTCAGGTTATGAAAGCCAGGATTCTGAAGGTACATATGAGAACTATCTGGAAAGCATCAGAAAAATAAAGCTTCCTAGACCCAGACCAGGACAGCCCAATCAGAGTCTTTTGGTACATAACCTTTAAATGAGATCTACCATATTCATTGGTAAGAAGAGGCAGATCTGGGAATGTGGGTTGCAAATGATAAAAGGTCTTGCCTGCCAAACTTAAGATTTTATACTCAATTTTATTGGCAGCGAGGGCCTCATTGAAAGGGGAGAGTCACATGGTGAGTGCATTAGGCAAGGCTTGCAGCAGCCTGTGTAAGACATGATGCCAATGGAAGATAGGAGATGATTGCAGAGCTGAGTGTTAAAAGATACCTGGAGTATTCATTTCTCCCTCAGAATATGAGTGTGTTTATTTCACTGGGGGCTGTCCATATTCTTCTCTGGCTTGAACATTGGTTCAAAACATTTCTGCAGCAGCCTGTGTAAGACATGATGCCAATGGAAGATAGGAGATGATTGCAGACCTGAGTGTTAAAAGATACCTGGACTGTTCATTTCTCCCTCAGAATATGAGTGTGTTTATTTCACTGGGGGCTGTCCATATTCTTCTCTGGCTTGAACATTGGTTTGAAACATTTCTTAGCAAATATGCTGCTGCATGCCTCCAGTCCCACTAAATGTTACGGTGATTGAAAATTACAGTTGCTTCCCTTGGGCGCAGAGGGGGCTCTTTGTAATGAAATAGAGATGCAGCAGCCATTTGGCATGTGGAGTAACAGCTTCTCTGGGACCTCCAGCAGGGGCCCATGGTATCATAAAAGGGGATGAGTCACCAGGGAAAGGAACAATTGTGGGTCTCAGAGTGTGCCCTTCCCTCTCTATGACTTCTGAGCTCCAATGAGCAATCTTAACTGCTGTCACCGGGAACTAGGACACCGTGAACACAGTGTTCGAGGCCCAGCCGATGACTCACTGCATAACTCTGATAAACTATTTCATGGTTCACAGTGGGGAGAGAGATTGCTTTTAAAAATTGAAAAGGAAAAAATAAAATACAATATATGTTGAATTGAAGTTTTGAGATGGATAAAATGCCTTTTCCCAAACAGCAAAGTATCAGAAGAGTCAGTTTTTTTTCTTTAATAGTGCCGGGGAAGGCATGGGGGAGGGAGAGACTGGGTATCCTTATAAGCTGCTGGGAGAATGGAAAGCTGGGGTTTTAGGAGTGGTTTTTATCTTGTTGGGAGAGTTCAGCTGTCATCCTGAAGGACAGGTGACCTCTGCCTGGGAAGTGTTTTCCTCTAGCTATGCTGTTGGCCCTTTATGTGTACAGTTACACATCACTTAAAAACGGGGATGCGTTCAAAGAAATGTGTCCTTAGGCAATTTTGTCATTGAGCAAACATCATAGAGTGTACTCCCACAAACCTAGATGGTACATTTATGCTAAGTTTCGGGTGAATTTGGCGTCTTACAGAGCACATGATCGGCCACCATCTCACTCTGGCCCCTCCCACTCTCTTTCCCTCCACCTTTCTGGAACAGGGCCAAAGCCCTCCTCTTGTTCCCTGGCAGAAGGGATCATATCATTTTCTTTCCCTGCACTTTTATTAGGTATTTTTCTAAATACAATTTCTTAAAAAAAATTCTCACAACAACAATTATAAAAGCGAATCTTTCTACCTACTAAATTAATAAGTGCCATTTTATGGAGCATCTACCATGTTCTGGACATTATGCAAGATGAAGCATTTTAAGAAGACTTTGAAGAGGGCCAGGAGACTAAACCTCCAGAGAGAAAAAAATTTAGTCATCTGAGATGTAATTGATATCTGACAAAGGACTCACTTTAGCAGTGCCACAGATGTGGGCTCTATTATTTTCTTGAAGGTCTGAGGATTAAAGTTATAATATTAAAGAATGTGACTTTGCTGGCACCTGACTATTTTTCTTTAAGAGATGTTTATCTCTTATCCTTTATATTTTGTTTTGTAACCATGAGTCAAGATATTTTTATTATAATGTCCAAGTCTTTAGATGGGTTCCTTAGAAGCACAGCCTGAGATGGGTATCTGGTGCATGTATCTTATTGTGGAGAGCTCTAAGGATGTGGGTGTGTGTATATAGAGTTTGGTGTGGGGTTGGGGGCTGTGTCCAGATAAAAGGAGCTGAGCAAGGATGTGGTCTCAGCTGGAGACTAGCCTCAGTCTGCTCACACAGGGAGCTCTGGGGCATGAGTAACACCACAAAGATGGTTTTACCTTAAGTCACTCAGTCATTGGCCAGGACTGCCCCTGGGGCAGAGATGTGGCATCATCTTTTCAGTAAGGAGGGCTTCTTTGATCCAAGAACAATTCTGTGGAGAATAGAGTATCTGTGTGCTGTCAGCAACTGTTATAGGCTTCACTGAGTCCCCGCTAAAAGCCATATGTTGGAGCCCTAACCCCCAGTACTTCAGAATGTGACTGTATTTGAAGACATGGCTTTTAGAGAGGTGGTTAAATTAAAATGAGGCTGATAGGGTGGGCTCTAAGCCAATCTGACTGTGTCCTCATAAGAAGAGGAGATTAGGCTTTTCAATGATCGCCATTCTAACTGGCATGAGACGGTATCTCATTGTGGTTTTGATTTGCGTTTCTCTAATGACCAGTGATGATGAGCTTTTTTTCATATGTTTGTTGGTCACATAAATGTCTTCTTTTGAGAAGAGTCTGTTCATATCCTTTGCCCACTTTTTGATAGGGTTGCTGGAGAGGATGTGGAGAAATAGGAATGCTTTTACACTGTTGGTGGGAGTGTAAATTAGTTCAACCATTGTGGAAGACAGTGTGGTGATTCCTCAAGGATCTAGAACCAGAAATACCATTTGACCCAGCAATCCCATTACTGGGTATATACCCAAAGGATTATAAATCATTCTACTGTAAAGACACATGCACATGTATGTTTATTGCAGCACTATTCACAATAGCAAAGACCTGGAAACAACCCAAATGCCCAAAAATGATAGACTGGATAAAGAAAATGTGGCACATATATAACATGGAATACTATGCAGCCATAAAAAAGGATGAGTTCACATCCTTTGCAGGGACATGGATGAAGCTAGAAACCATCATTCTCAGCAAACTAACACAAGAACAGAAAACCAAACACTGCATGTTCTCACTCATAAGTGGGAGTTGAACAATGAGAACACATGGACACAGGGAGGGGAACATCACACACTGGGGTCTGTCAGGGGGTGGGGGACTAGGGGAGGGACAGCATTAGGAGAAATACCTAATGTGGATGATGGGTTGATGGGTGCAGCAAACCTGGGTGTAGCAAACCATCAGGACGCGTGTGTATCCATGGAACAAACCTGCATGTTCTGCACATGTATCCCCAAACTTAAAGTATACAAAAAAAAAAAAGAGGAATAAGAGATTAGGACACAGGGACACCAGGGTATGCATGCACAGAGGATGACCTTGTGAAGAAGCAGCAAGAGGGAAGCCAAGGAGAAAGGCCTCAGAGGAATCCAACCCTGCTGGCCCCTTAATCTCCAACCTCCAGAACTCTGGGAAATAAATTTCTATTGTTTAAATCACCCAATCTGTGGTATCTTCTCATTACAGCTCTGGCTGACTTAATACAGCAGCCAACATGCACAGCAGCTAGCAGACGAGGGTGTGCCAATTATACTTTGGAGTGTGTCTGGGAAGAGAATTTGTGTGGGGCATTGATAGTAGCCACTACACCCACTTACAAATGAGAACACCGTGACCCAGAGAAGTGAAGTAGCCCACCTGAGGTCACACAGCCAATAAGCAACGGAGGCAGAATTTGATTGCCATCTGACCCTACAGGTGGTCCTCCTAGTCACTACTTTGTATCATCACTTCTGTTGCAAGGCAGTTTTTCTCAGAAGCAGCAGATGTCACCAGTTAACTTTGACTTCAATTTCTTTTTGGTTTTTTGTTTGTTTTGTTTTGTTTTGTTTTCATCTAAATTGTGCTTACCTTATACAAAATGGAGCTTCTGGGGGAAATTGAGGCAACTCAGCACAATGCCTATGTCTGTGTGTCTTCTCAAAGTATTGACTTTTACCTTATGTAAAAGGTAAAAAAAAATCTTATGGTTTTGGGGACGTTGTAGCATATTAATCATAGGTTTCCTATACATATGAGAAAATAATATTTTTATTTTTAATGTTTTTATTAAAAATGAATTTGAGCAGTTTTTCACACCCACAAATGTTATTTTTGGGAAATTAAGAAATGCTTTGATGGCTGTCATGTTAATACAAATAATAACTGTAATCATTCTAAGCACTGCCACTCCCAATTTGTAATGAATGAACATGGTCTTCATAGAGGCCACATTGAGATACAAGAATAAATCAGTTTGTTCTTATTAGAGCCTTATAATAGCCTTGTTCAGTATTTTCTGGCTTGGTGTAATAAAGCCATTACCCTCTTCAGAAAACTAGAAAAGAAAGGACAAATAGAGATGGACATCTTTTGGTAGCTGCCTTCTGCTGAGGGCTCCCACCACCCACCCTCTGTCTGCCCCATGACAGCCAGCTCCGCAAACTTTAATGCTGAACTATGATTAGATATGCAGAGAGAGGCAGGGTGTCCGGGGCAGACTCTAGGGCACCTGGAGAAAGCTCCAGCCTAACAGCATTTGCTGTCACACTCTGGGTCCTCTTGACTGAGTTCTGGGACTTGACTGAGTGGGCCTGCAGGATGTAACTGGAAGTTTTAGTACGATGAAGACATTTTTTGCAGTTCGAAGGTATGACTACATCTGAGATATAAGTTCAAAGTATGTGAAAAAGAGGAAAGGGGTGGGGGAGTCTTAGGAAAAACATCTGTATCTCCTTCCTCTCCTCAGCTTCCCCTCTCCACGTTACTCTCCCAAAGGATTAGTTAATTCTTTGTATATGATATTATGTGGCAATTTGAAAGTCCTTATCTCTTAGAGATTTATGTACTCATTTATTCAGCAAGAAGTTTTGGGTGTCTGCTTTGAATCATGTGTTGGGGATACCATGGTAAGCAGGATGGGTGTGGCCTCTGCCCTCCTGGAGCTTACCATCTACCTGGAATATTAGAAGGGATTTTTATTTCAGCAGACATAAAGTGCCAGTCATTGTGCTGAATTAGTGGTTCTCAAACTTAAGGGTGCATCAGGATCACCTGGAGAGCTTGTCAAACCACACATTGCTGGACCTTCATCCCAGTTTCTGATTCAGTAGGTTGGAGGTATAGGCAAATTTGGAAATTTTTATTTTTAATAAGAGCCCAGGTGATGTTGTTCTTGCTATTCTGGGGACCACCCTTTAAGAACCATTCTGGGAAGCCTGTCACATGGATTTGCTTAAGGCATTCTAATGGTTAAAACCATCTGGGATGGTGGTGGGCCCACAGGCTGAGATCTTCTAAATGTCTAAAAGGAACTAAGTTCCTTTAGAGGAAACTTGGTTTTCTCTTCAGGCAAAGTTCCTGTTTTATGAAAACACTCTTTTTTAAAAAAATTGTTAATGTATATCTGGATCGTTTTAGCAGTTTAAAGAGCTAATGCAGTAGATGAAGTGACAGGGAGTTTTTCATTTAACAGTTGCATCTGTATGTCATTTTCTCCTCGAAGGTTCTATAAGATAGAGCAATAGTTCTCAAAGTGTGTTTCCAGACGAGTGGCATAGTTAGAAATGCAGAATCTCAAGCCCCATTCCAGACCTACTGAATCAGAAACACTGGGTGTGGGAGCAAGAATCTGTTTTAACAAGGCTTCCAGCTGATTCTGAGGCACACTCAAGTTTGACACATCTGAGATAGATGGTAGTGAGAACTAGGCTCAGGCTGAATCTGATTCTCCCAGCTCCCTTAAGACGGTTTACCAGGATGACTAAGCTTCAGTTTTTCTATCTCGTAAGTCAAAAGTCTATCCCTTGTTGTCTAATATCTTTCAGAGCTACAAGAAAGATAATCATGACCTTTCTGAAATGGTTTTACTAGCAAAGATGAAAATTTCTAACTAACCATAAATAGACTTATTCAGTGAAAGAAAGGGGATTCAGATGCAGCAGTGTGACCTTCGGTTGGTCATTAGCTTGTCTGAACCTTACTTTTCCTATCTGAAAAGTGGGCAGAAAAATGTCATTCTAGTCTACATTGAAGAGTTGTTGCAAAGATCAAATGGTATCTTTGTGCTATTAAATGGTATCAAATTTTTGTGGTATCAAATGTATATCAGCATGCTTTTTAAACTGTAAAATGCACACAAATATAAAGATTATAACTTTGGGCTGCTCACCCTTAGCTTTGTTCTTTTCTATCAACAAAATGGGAGTAGTTGAATTACTTATACCTCTATGGAGATTTTAAGTAATTTAGACAACTAATAGCACAGTAACTCGAGCTCTTCTAAGGTAAAGTTTTTCTTACGTTTATGTTTTGTCTTTAACATACAAAGGTTGAAATATGTAGAAATAGTATAAAATCTTTTAGATTTTATTATAGTGTATACTCTTATTTGAACTAGTCACATTCTAGAGCAGTGATTCTGAGAGGGCAGCCTCCAAACCAGCAGCATCAGCATCAGCTGGGAACTTGTGAGTAATGCAGATTCTCAGGTACCACACCAGACCTGCTGAATCAGCAAGTCTTGGGGTGGGACCCAGAGATCCGTTTTAACAAGCCCACAGGTGATCCTGATGCTCACACAAGTCTTAGAGAAAGGCATTTATTTGGGTCTTAATTGAAGGATCTGATAAAGGCCATCATTTTCCTGGAACAGGGTGATGTCTTCGTTTTTCCAGCATGGATTTGAAACATCTGTGTCCAAACTCGTGCAGCCATTATTGGATTCCTTCATAAACACATTCTGTTACTGCTTGCCTGGCATACAGAAGATCTGGAATGCCACTCCAGTATACCCATTATGAGGCTGACTTCAGGGTGCAAGGAAATTAAAGCTGTTTATCAGACTCTTTTCCCCTTAGTGACAGGAGAAAGGAATCTTAAGCTAAGAAGGCTTCAAGTTGGGTCTATGTATGAAAAACATGAGGCGTGACAAACACAGTTTGAACGGACTTACGTTTTTTTTGACTTTTCCCTTTGAAAATGAAAATGAGTCCTTTTGTGGGCAGCACCAAATTAGTGGTGCTTACTTAAGAAATACTGGAGACAGATTCATTCCAGTTTGTTTCATAACTTAGGTGGCAGAATGGCACTTTTCCCTGGCCACTTCTTTCCTTCTTCCCCTTCTAGGAGGAAATCTTAGGTAGGAGAGGGAAAGGGACTAAGGCTGTCTGTACACAATGAGCTACGTTTTGGGAAGAGGAGCTTAGTGTTTTAACAAAAGAAAGGTTTGTCTGTGTTGTAGAGATATGACTTGGTCCACTGCCTATGTTTGTAAATAAAGTTTTATTGGGACATAGCCACACTCATTTATTTATGTATTGTCTGTTTTCACACTACAAAGGCAGAGTTGGGTAGTTGTGACAGAGACCACGTAATCTGCAAAGCCTAAAATTGTTTTACTATCTAGCCCTTTACAGAACATATTTGTCAACCCCCCTTGCAGAGGTTTCTTCTGAGCTGCTTGAAGGAAACCTTGACGGAATCAGTGGACAGGAAGGACAGTGGGAGGTGAACAGTGTGGTGAAATGCCTGCGGGTTCCTGTGGAGTCCACAGAAAGGAAACCACAGAGAGGCGAGATTCCATATTGCCCATTTCAGTTGGGTTCAGTATGGATTTTGAGAAATTATTCTATTTAAAATAAATAAATATTTTAAACTTGAGTATATATTTGCAATTGTCTAATACAGTCATACACTGCATAACAATCTTTTGGTCAATGACAGACTGCATGTACAATGGTGGTCCAGTTAATGAAGCTGAAAAATTCCCAACACCTAGTGCTATCATAGCCATCATAACATTGCAGAGCAACATAGCCACTCACATACTTGTGGTGATGCTGGGTAAATAAACCTACTACACTGCCAGTCATATAAAAGTGTAATGCATATATTTATGTACAGTATAGTGATGACAAATGACTGTTACTGCTTTATGTATTTACTATACTTTTTTTTTTTGAGGTGTGGTCTCACTCTGTTACCCAGTCTGGAGTGCAGTGGCACGATCTCGGCTCACTGCATCCTCCACCTTCCAGGCTCAAGTGATCCTCCCACTTCAGCCTCCCAGTTAGCCGGGACCACAGGTGTGCGCCACCACACCCAGCTAATTTTTTGTATTTTTGGTAAAGATTGGGTTTCTCCATGTTGCCCAGGCTGTTCTCGAACTCCTGACCTCTGGTGATCTGCCTGCCTCGGCCTGCCAAAGTGCTGGGATTATAGGAGTGAGCCACCATGCCTGGCTTGCTATACTTTTTATCATTTTTCTAAAGTGTACTCCTTCTACTTATTAAAAAAAATTAACTGTAAAACAGCCTTGGGCAGGTCCTTCGGGAGGTATTTCAGAAGAAGGCACTGTTATCACAGTAGATGGAGGCTCCGTGTGTGTTACTGCCCCTAGAGACCTTGTAGTGGGACAAGATGTGGAGGTGGAAGACAGTGGTATCAGTGATCCTGACGCTGTGTAGCAGTAGACTAATGTGTATGTTTGTGTCTTCATTTTTAACAAAATAGTTGAAAAAGAAAAAGAAAGAAAAAATGCTTATTGACTATCTCCTAGTTAGGAGAGATATGAAAAAAAGAAAATATTTTCGTACAGCTGTACAATGTGTTTGTGTTTTAAGCTAAGTGTTATTACAATAGAGTCAAGAAGTTTAAAAAATGTACAGTAAGCTGCTTAATTTATTATTGAAGAAGGGAAAACATTTTTTATAAATGTAGTGTAGCCTAAGTGTCCAGTGTTTATAAGTCTGTAGTAGCGTACAGTAATGTTCTAGGCCTTCGCATTCACTCACCACTCACTCACTGACTCACCCAGAGCAACTTCCAGTCCTGCGTGCTCCATTCATGGTAACAGCCCTGTACAGATGTGCCATTTAAAAAATCTTTTATACTGTATTTTTACTGTACATTTTTAATGTTAAGATACACAAGTACTTACCACTGTATTACAATTGTCTACAGTATTCAGTGTAGTAACATGCTGTACAGGGTTGTAGCCTAGGAGCAATAGGCTATACCACATAAACATAGATGTGTAGTAGGTTATACCATCGAGGTTTGTAATAAGTACACTCTATGATGTTCACACAATGATGAAATCACCTGAATGACATATTCCTCAGAACATATCCTCGTTGTTAAGTGATGCATGACTTATTTCTTCCTGGTGTTGGGTATTACAGGAAAAACTACTGAGTGTTTGCCTTATTTGATACATACTTTGCATCCATTATACTATGTAATGTTCACAACAATTCCATGAGATGAATATTATCATCTTTATTTTATAGATGAGAAAACTGAAGTGCAGAAAGCTTAAATAACACAGTGTTACAGAGCTATTGCTAGAGGCTTGATTTAAATGCAGATTTTGTTTTTATGCCAAAGCCAGCATTCTAAAGGAGTGTTTCTGAATGTTGGCCTCTCTAGCTAGGTTGGGGTGTTTTTCAAACTGCAGGTTGAGAGGTCAGTTTAGTGAGTTGCAACCAGCATTAAAAAAATAATTGAACAGGATGAAAAACACCAGAGTGTGTCATATGTAGTTTGGGTAAATAGGTCTTGGTGTATGAAACTTTTGTTTCGACTATAAAGATATTTATAAACATACATATATAAGCACATTTCTGTGCACTGGGCAACAATGTAAATGATATTTCTTACCATGTCGTA
The DNA here is from genome assembly GCF_000001405.40 of Homo sapiens. Taxonomy (NCBI): domain Eukaryota; kingdom Metazoa; phylum Chordata; class Mammalia; order Primates; family Hominidae; genus Homo; species Homo sapiens. Next base: position 131,225,956 of record NC_000003.12, read on the forward strand.
GTTTGAAAGCCAAGGGAGTGGACAAGGAGGAATGAAGATAAAGAAAAAATGGGAGAGCAAGAGGGAAAAATATGAATGAGTGAGAGAATGAATAACTGTCAAAGGGACAAAGAGACTCGAGAGGGAGAGGAAGTAGAAAAGAGTGGGGAAAGAGGGAGAATGGACAACTCAGAGAAAGAGACACAGAGATTCAGGGAGAGTTGAGGGTGGGCAAGAGAAGGAAGACATCATATGGTTCTGTCTTTCATTCCACTCAGCAAGCACATGTCCCTACTTGATGGCAGAACTGGAGATCTCTCAGGAGATTTTAGTTTTCATACACTTCTCATGCTGTGATTCTCTTGTCGTTCTCAGTGTAAGTAAAATGAAGATCTTTATTAACATGGCTTCTAGTCATTACAGCAAAAAGACACCTGCACGTTTATGTTTATCACAACACAATTCACAATTGCAAGGATATGGAACCAACATAACTGCCCATCACTGATGAGTGGATAAAGAAAATGTGGCATATATACACCATGCAATACTACTCAGCCATTAAAAAAAGAATGAAATACTGTCTTTTGCAGCAACCTGGATGGAGCTGGAGGCCATTATTCTAAGTGAAGTAACTCAGGAATGGAAAACCAAATACCATATGTTCTCACTTATAAGTGGGAGCTAAGCTATGGGTACACAGAGGCATGCAGAGTGGGATAATGGACTTTGGAGACTCAGAAGGGAGGAGGGTGGGAGGGAGGTAAGGGATAAAAGACTACATATTGGGTACAGTGTATACTACTCGGTGAGGGTGCACTAAAATCTCAGACTTCACCACTACAAAAGTCACCCATGTAACCAAAAACCACTTGTATGCAAAAGGTATTGAAGTTCTATATGCATGTACATATGTGTATAGGTATGTTATATATATATGTGTACATACAGACACGTGCAGGTGTCTTCTTGATATAATGACTAGAAGCCACGTTTAATAAAAATAATATATATTATTTCAATATAAATAATAAAAATAATAAAAACTATGGCTTCTCCATAACAGTATTCTATCTCATCTGTTGCTCAGCTGAAAATCAGTGATCTGAACTGATGTGAAAAAAAAAAATACGCTGTGTTGAAATTGCTGAGAGAAGGTATGAGATCCCTAGTACACTGCTTTCTAAGGAACTGGCAAAGGCAATTTTGAATATATGTAATTTTTGTCTTTTGAGCTGACTAATTTTTATTCTACTGTACAGCAGCCTTTTATGTTTTAGTGGGAAACCATAGATAACAAACACATTTTAACATCTTCTATTTCCAGGGAATTCTACATCCATTAAGTATCTTACTTTCAAAGGATTCTGGACTCATTTAATGAAAAGCCCATTTGTACAGACTTGGAAATTGAGTGAACATTTGTATGAAACTTCCCTGCATACCGATGCTTTCATGAGAATTCTATTACTCAATCTCAGCAGCCACTCTACTAGATTACACTTATGTTAATTTTATCACAGAAATTGGAGCTCTGTGAGTTTAAGTCTCTTGCACAAATTTTCATCTAAAAAGTGGAAGAGCTAGATTCTAGCCTTGATTTTCTGACCCCAAATTTCATATTTTTCCCACTAGACCAGAAATAGCAACAATAGATTGAAAAATAATGTGTTACAATTTGGAAGAAAAATTTTAATTTTAAGTCTGAGTATGGTGCAAAGTCTAAAATGCCCATTGTTTTGCTGCAGCTGAGTATTCTAATTTTCTCCTCCCCCAGCCCAAGGGTAGTTGTTTGGGTAGTTCTTTATTTCTAGCCCCCCATTAGTAAATTATATTGTTATGCTTTCTTGTGATCCATTCATGGCCTTTCTTCACTGAAGATTGTTATAAACACCAACTTTATTCTAGTTACTAACAATGTTGCATCAAGTAACTTGGGTAGATGCTTATTGTCATCAGCTTAGGTGGGTATTCTTTTTTAAAATAAGTGCTGAATGTAAGGTTGAGTAAGTAGGACCCACCAGAGTGAACTCCATCTCAAAAGCCATCATTACCTGTTAGAAAAGAATTGTGTTTTTCCCAGCTTGCCAAAATGATGCTGCTATATATCCTATTCATCTTGTTTGGTCCTACCAGTAACATTTAAAAAAAAAGAAATATCTAGGAAAAATGCTGTGGTAGTTTTGCTCCAACTTCCTATGCTAAAAACTTTATGTGTGTTGTGTAATAGGACCCTTCAGCCAGGACATCTTGTCCTACCTTTGCCCCTAAATTTCCTCATTTTTAATAAGGATTCATGCCTCCAAATGTCAAAATGTTAAAGCATATTATTTATTCTTATTTAATGATTTTTTTCTTACCTTCAAACGGTAGTTGCTAATGGAAATGTTCCTCCTTTCCTCTACTGGTTTTATTTTGCTGAGTGTTTATTACATTCAACCAAATACTTCCAGGAAGCTGAGATTCAGCTCTACACTCCATGGAAGCTTTGTCAACGCAAGCAAAATATACATCCCTGTGAAAAGATACAGTATTCTTACCTCATTATAATTTTAATAACTGGTAGTATCTGACTGTTTGTTCATTATTTCAGAGATCCCAGAAGACCCACTTGTGGCTGAAGAGTACTACGCTGATGCATTTGATTCCTATTGTGAAGAGAGTGATGAGGAGGAAGAAGAAATAGCGTTAGAAAGACCAGAGAAAGAAATCAGGAATGAGGGATCCCAGCCTGCTTACAGAACAAACCAACAGGTATGTAATGCTCCCTGTCGGAAGCCATGGAACTGTTCAAGGTACTGATTGGACTCTCCCAGAGAAGAAAGGAAGTCTTATAAGGTGAAGTTGGGGACATGGGGAACAGGGTTATTATAATAGCTACTTGTGGTAAGTCTGGCTTTTCAAGGTCCAGAGGCAGGCAGGGCCCTATGGAATTTGGAGAATCTGATCTGGACCATGTTGATGGGGGAAGAACTGGAGCATGCTGCACTTATTTGGGGGGTTGGGAGATGGCACACACCATATTCCCACTGAGGAGGGCTTCGTATACAGCTATTGAATTAAAAAATGCAAATATCTCTTTAGCAGAGAGAATGGCACTTTTTATATACTTTTCTGTCTGGTAATCATATTTTGGGGTCATATTCACAAATTGAATGCAAATAAAATTTGTAAAGACTGACTTAGTTTTGGGGATCAGAACCAAAGATCCTGGGCTTAGGGGATAATCTGTCTAGCTACTTTTAGCCTCTGAGGACACATTCTTGCTTAAGTGGTGAAGTCTCTGAGTATATGCCCTATGCCCTTGTAGTAGATCTCTTTTAACTATAGCAAGATTAAGCCTTATATGGGCCATAGGTCAAGAAACACCCCTGACATGTGCTTTCAGTGTTGAGTGTCTGCAACAGAGGAATAAAAAGCAAGAGGCTTATGAAGATGAAGGGGAAAGCTTTGGGCAATGTGCATACATACCTTCTTTTCTTCTTACCTTCCAATCCTAAACTTCCATGAGTTACAGAAGCTTTTGTTAACTGAGAACCATGCAGCTACTAAAATAAAAGTCTACCAAAGGGCACCTGAGTGAAGACTCAGCTAGAGGAGATGATTTTTGGAGTGAAGATGATTCACTCCAAAAATCCATTCAACCATTTTTAATAAAGACTATGCAATATATCATAATATTCAATCCATTCAGCCACTTAAATCCATTCAACCATTTTAATAAAGATTATGTGTCATAATATTCAATAAATAAAAGCAGTAAGAAGTGCTCTCCAATTTGATATTAAGAGAGAGAGGCAAGTGAAGGGTACAGGTATGGGGCCAAGCAAAAAAAGGGATGAGATAAAGAGGAGAAAGAGATGAAGAGAAAGGATTAGAGAGAGATAATTTAGGAGACAAATACATGAAGAGAGAAACAAATACATTTGGAGAAAAATACAGCTAAAGGGGGGATTCAGAATGCCAAAATAAAAACTTAGCTTATACCGTTTCCCCATTTTTTTCCAACGGAATCTGGAAAACAACAGCACCTCCTACCACAAATCGAAAATATAATTTCTACTACCTTCTGAGCCACTGTCATAAACAACTGTAACGGATATTATTGCAGCATTACAGAGCCTTCATTCTGGGCCTATGGTTGCAAAACACATGATATGCAAAATACATACAGTGCTCAATTTTTGGTCAAAGCATCAAGCGGTAAAATTTTAGCTACTAATATTCACTTAGAAATGTTTTTTAAGAAAATAAAACAGATTTAGAACCACATGAATAAAATACTATATGGCAAACAGCTCCTAGGTCAGGAAATACAATTTTTCCAGTCTCAGAATATCCATCTTTGGCACTTAGAATATAGGGTTGGAAAACAGATTGCTTGCATGTCTTTATAACTTGCAGTTTGCGTGACCTTGTTCAAATTACTGAACTTCACTGTGCCTCAGTTTTCTAATCTGTAAAGTGGGAGAATAATGGTTTCTACCTCACAGAGTGGTTTTGAGGATTAAATGAAGTAATCAATATAAAGTAATTAGAATAATGCTCAGAATTTAATAAAATACTTCATGAGATATTAGCTATTATTATTATGAAGTTACTCAGTCAAGGTATCCAGTACCTCTTTATGATACTGCCAAAACTCCTTAATGTTAAAGTGAGATTTTCTAACTTGCTTTTAAGTAATTTTTTAAAAATTCCTTCTTATTAGTCTTAAGGCAGATGATAAACATAAGGGCAGCAGTTTTGTTCTCTGGGTTGTATATCTATCACATGTTACATGACAGATTGTGATTGATTTTAAGTAATCTATTGGGACAAGATGCTAAGGCCTCTCATATGGTTTGGCTATATCCCCACCCGAATCTCATCTTGAATTGTAGCTCCCATAATTCCCATGTGTTATGGGAGGGACATGGTGGGAGATAATTGAATGATGGGGTGGTTTCCCCAGTACTGTTCTCATGGTAGTGAATAAGTCTCACGAGATCTGATGATTTTATAAGGGGTTTCCTTTTTCACTTTGCTCTCATTCTCTCTTGCCTGCAGCCAGGTAAGACATGGCTTTCACCTTCCACCATGACTGTGAGGCCTTTCCAGCCATGTGGAACTGTGAGTCCCTTAAACCTCTTTTTCTTTATAAATTACCCAGCCTCACGTATGTCATTATTAGCAGTGTGAGAACAGACTAAATACAGCCTCTCACATACATGGTGGTATTTTGTCTCACAAACCCTGTTGGGTAGTTATCTTATTCCTATTTTCTTTTTTTTCTTTTTTTTTTTGAGACAGTGTCTCGCTCTGTTGCCCAGACTGGAGTGCAGTGGCATGATCTCTGCTCACTCTAATTGAGGAAAGTTAGTTTCTGAGAGAGGTGTAGCCTTCCTGCGGTCACGTAGCTAGGCAAGGATCAGACTCATGCCTCAGGCCCACATCAGTCACATTCTCAAGTCAATGTTTTTGCTACTATAGAATATATATTGACCTAGAATGGACTTGGCATAAGGGAAACAGAAGTGTTGCCAAGTCCATTCTAGGTCAATATACATTCTATAGTAGCAAAAACAATACACAGTAGAGCAATTTGTATAGATTAGCAAAAAATAGAGTAATTTGTTTAGAGTAGCAAAAACAATTACACAATAGAGTAATTTGTATTAGAGACAGGTAATTACAACCCCATTTGTTTTCTTCCAGTAATTCAATGTAGTTTCTCCTTCCCCAAAGGTGATGAATGTGGACTCTTCCCTTTCAGGTTATTTTCATTAGCAACATACAAATTACACTACAGAACTCAGTCATGGTCAACTTTGTGAATTGAGAGAGACCTGCTGCCATCTCTCAGATTGGCCTCTTCTCCCCTTTCCCTGGTCTTGCCCTGGACCTCTGAGTGTGCCAGGGTCTGCTTAGATGGTCATCACACAAATGCCTTCTATGTGTGTAATCAGATCAAAGTTGATTCCCCTTCCTTTAGATGGAGCCAAAGTCACATAGTTATTTTGATGAAAGAAGTGCTTTCAAAAAGAAACACAGCCATGGACTTCATTGAGATTGATTACTGAGTTCTTTGTGCCACCCATGACAATCTTTTTAGTAGCAGTGTCTCCAAAGCAGTTTTATTAAGCACCTAATTGCTGATGATTGCCAACTGTTTCTCTGCTGTGATAAGCACAGCATCAATAAAACCTTTATCACAAGCCATTATCATATTGTTGATGGCTCCTCTGCCAAGTCTGTGGTCACTGAATTGGAGCCAGCATCTTAGATCTCAGGAGAATTGAGTTTATAGCTGCCGTCATAACAGGGTTCTCCACAACACTTGTGCAACCTGTCACTAAAAAGTGTTTTATGCGCTCTAATGGACATGGCTTAGGGCTACAGGCTGACGAGTGTTTTCACAGACTCTTCTGTCTTTCCTTTGCTGCCTTGACTATCATTTTTCTCTCCAAGACTAATAAATGGCTCAGATGCATCCAGTAATACACATACTAGGTGGACAATAATGACTCGACACAAATCTTCCTCGGAAGGGCTTTGTTTAATGAATGTGGCTGTCACTGAGGCTTGTTTTAAGAAGGCTCTTCAGGACTATGGTGTTTGTTCTTCCTAAGATGAAAGGCGGCAGAGTTCCACTATTCCAGTTAATTCTGAAGTTCTCAATGCTTTTTCCCCAAATCATTCAGAGGTTTTGAAATTCTTAGGAAAAACAATTGATTTTCTTCTTGGAACATTGTCCCGGGGCAGAGAACTGGATATGCGATAGGCAAGGCCTGAGATTCTGCTGAGGACCCTTGGATCTGATTGTCATGATGGTAGGTGCCTCCAAGAGTTCCTGCTGTTAGTTGAGTCATTAGTTTAATCAGATCATAGTAATGATAACAGTAACAGCTAGTATTTCCAGAATCTTCATTCTATGCTCGGTACTTTGCATGCTGTGTCAGTTCAGGTACTCCAGGAAGCAGGTGATGAGACAGAATTAGAAATAAAAAGGAAATTCCTATCAAGTAGGTGGGAGGAGTCTTAAACCATACTGATATATTTGAGGGGAAGGAAGGAAGGAAGGAAGGAAGGAAGGAAGGAAGGAAGGAAGGAAGGAAGGAAGGTTGGATGAGAACCTCAGGCTGCAGTGCAATTCTGATAAAACCTTGGCAGGCAGGCTGGCAGGCAGGAAGGAAGGTAGGGAAGGAGGGAGGGAGGGAGAGAGAGAGGGAGCAATTGGATGGGAGCCTCAGGCTGCACTGCAATTCTGAAAAAGGTTTGGCCCTGTCAAGAGGGAGCGCAAGGTGTGTTGCTGGAGTCCAGCACTGCGAAAGAATGGCCTGGCCCTAACTTCCCCATAGTGCTTACATTGCCTGGGAGTTGCCTGGGAAGAGCAGGGCCTCAGCGTGGACCCTGCATTGGATCCCGAAGGTGTTGTAGCCGAGGGCTGTCAGATCACTAGGCTCCTTGCAGCAGGGTCTATCTTGAAGGGACTTGTAAGTGGCAGATCTCATGGCTGTCACAGGTGTATTATTTCATTTAATTCTTGCAACAACTCTGATGCATATATTCTAGATGAACTGCATCAAACTAGAATTTAACTGGCTGGAATTCAAATAAGGGAGAAGGCAGAGATAAAGGAGAAGGTGAAGGTAGGAGAAAGGAAGGGATCATGAGTTAGGGATTTCATGTGACTTTTACTGAATGCTCCAGAGTCAAAATGAGCTGAGAGATATAAATCCAGTCCCTCTACTGCATCTCAGTTCCTGCATCTCTCAGACTGTAAGCCTCTTGTTGCTTTGAATTATTGTTGTAGACTTCCAGTATTTCAGATACATATTTTTCACACAATCTAGTCCCTACGTGCAAATCAGCTATTTCATTTGCTCAAAAAAGAAACAGCAGTGGAGGATATTTCAAGTGCTGACTTTAAAACCTAGGTCCCTTGAAAGATACTGTTTGTGACATCCTAACTTCACACAAGAGGAAACTGAGGCATAAGGAAATTAAGTTACATCTCCAAGACCACACAGCTAGTAAGTAGCAGAACTGGACTGTATGAATTTATTTTTAGCCTCTGCTTTATACAGTCTTTCCTCTGCACAACAATTAGAATTGCTTCTCCTCCACTGATGATAGAGTAAATGCGTTAGGTGCAAGGGAATAGCTGCAGGGCCATTGCATTATCTGGTACTCTGGCAAGACCTTTTTACTAAACAGAATGACTGTGCTATGTACAAGGCAAAATTTAAACCAGTTCCAGGAAGAGTGCTGAGTTATGAAAAGTAAAACAAAAAAGACCCAACATCTCTCATCTGTTATGGGATACAGATTTATCTCCTCCTACTATGTCCTTTTCTTTTTTAAGATAAGTTGCCAGAACTGTTGAGTCCCAGTAGTGGGACTTATTTGCCTGTTATTTTTACATGATCTGACCTAATTAATTTACCTTCATACTTGGGAAGAAACACTTTTTGTCTTAAATCGACCTTAGAGGTCATCAGTTCTAAAAAGCAGACTCCCAGCTGTTTCAGATTGTCGATCATTTTTCCATTAGCATTCCGCTGGCCTGTGTCCCAGGCTGTAAAGCCATCAGCCTTGCTACAGTGTTAGTGGATACTCCCAGTTTGGTGTGTCATTCCTTCTAGGTGATGGGCCTTCTGTAGACTGTGTGTTGCTCAAAGGAGAGACTTTGAGGTGACAATTTCCACCCCTACCCCCCATCCCAGCCCTCATTTCCGTCATGATTCTTCCCCCTTCTCTCTCTCCCATTTCTTGTCCAGATCAAAGCATAGCTCATTGCTAGTCATATTAGGACCAGTCAAACCTTGCTGTGGAATACAGCACAGTGGGGTTTGTTTTTTTTTTTACATTATATCACTTACTTCTCTTAACAATTTGATATACTATTCTTTTTTTTTCTTCTGGCCTTTATTTTATTTTAGGTTCAGGGGGTACATGCGTGAGTTTGTGGGCTTTGTAGGAGGCTTAGTCATTAAGTCTTTAAAATTAGGTCCATTATAGGGTTTAGGATCACACCTACATTTTTCACCCCAATACCAAAGCATGGAGAAAAAGGAGAAAGGCAATAGGGTGAAAAAAGGGCAAAGCAAATCTGAGCAGGAATGCAAAGTGTCTGAGTGTTCCCTTCAGTGTGAAGATGGAGAGGTCACCAGCCCCACAGTCTCCCTTGTTGGTGGCTGATCAGAGGTCCACAGGTCAATGGGCAAATAAAGGGACGGTGACCTTCACTGTGAGATGCCCTGTGCTCCGCTGTGCTGCTCCTGGAACTTTGGGGTGAGAGTGGTGAGACACAGCTGATAAGAGTAGTTGCAGTGGACCCTCTAGTGCTTTTCTCTCCAACAATCTTCTCCCTCCACTACCCTACATTAATCCCTGTTTCCCTAGCTATCATCAGAGCTGAGGTGCCCTGACCATATGGTGCACAGAAACCCTGCAAAAAATATGAAAACCATCCTAAACAGCGTTGGCAAACAGAAAAATACAAGTCCCATCCAACTGTTTTGTGATCAGAAATTTATTTTAATTTTCTGAATATTTCATTCACCTAGACAGGGAGAGTAAATACCATTTCATGGTGTCCAGCCTGGGAGGAAAGGGTTGTGACACATGGGGGCCATTGTTGGGGGTGCATTGTTCCCACATAACCTGGTAATCTGAAGGCACAGGGGTCTATGTCATCCCTGGGAAAACACCAGTCATAATAAGACAGAGCTACCTTGCAGCATCCAGGTGTTGTGCCAAACCCTTTACATGCCTTATCCCATTCATACTCACAGCACTCAATGCAATTAACATCTCTCACCATTTACAAATGAGAAGACTATGAAACAGACAGATTAACTAATTTGACCTAAGTTACCCCATCCAATGACAGAGCTGGGGTTTAAACCAGCAAATATTCGTTGTACCAACTATTAGGAATTTGGAGTAAGTATAGAACTTAATGTAGAAGTTGGTAAAGGAGAAGAAAAGGAGATTCTTGGGACCTAAGTGACAGCTCCAAAGTGTGTGAAAATGGACTATGAGCTGATGATTTAAAATCATGTTTAAATCACAGGGCTACATTTTTCACTTACTCTGTGGGATTTAAATAAAAGTAAAGCTAAAACTAGAGTTAAAAATAGAAATCTGCAATAAACAACTGTGTATCACAATGACTATCTTTTGGACTGAAAAATTCTTGTGTTTTTGTGGCAATAAACCTCCCTTAAATTGCAGGACTTTCTTCTCTAGGCTATTGTATGTATAGAGTGGAAAGAGATTAAGTAGTTAATAAAGAGCAAGTGGAAGGATTGATTAGAGGTAGCTTTTCTTTCACTGTGCTGGAATTCTAGAAATGGATTGTTGCAGAGGGAGTACAGGCCTCACCAGTTCCTGGAAAATCCATTGCCCTGTTTTGGGTAGGTGTTACGTTGCCATTCTATCAGCCCTGCTTTTTTTTCGTCTCTTTATCCTTTACATTTCTAAACCGTAATTCTAAATGTCTTAAGAGTTCTGTCATTGGATACCTATGAATGTCTTTGAAACCCTAAAGCAATCCCACAGGCATTGACTTGCCGAGAACCTGGGCATTAATAAGAGACAGCTGCAGTTAGAAGGTTTTAATAATGCAGAGTAAACAAGGCATTAGCAGTGAAATGTGGACACGTTGACAGTCACGTTTCAGCAATTCGGAATTCAGTGAAAGAGGCTTTTAGTCTTATGGGAGCTGTGGGGGCTTGTTGGCAGTTTGAGTTTTGCAGATGTGGCTCTGTGTTCCTATCACCGCACACACTTTAAGGCAGAAGGCCACCATCAGTAGTGAGATAGGAGTTACGATATTAGCTTCCTGATTTCAGGGAAGCCCTCACAAAGGTGCCATCAGCTCTGTCCTATGGCTTTGTGCTAAACGGCATCTTCTGCCTTCCTATGAATTATGAATGCATATAAGCAAGGGCTTGGCTTCTAATGAGTTCAAGCTGAGATGTGAAAGGTACATCTGAGTGTGAAGAAGATGGATAAGGTCACCTTGGTGTTTTGGTTTCTGTAACTTAGTGACATTTTCCAGGGCTGTTCTGGACACCATTTGTGGGAGAGTAGATGATAGTTTAAAAATGCAACTTGGAGAAAAAAGTAGGTGGGGCTGGGTACATTGGCTCATTCCTGTAATCCTAGCACTTTGGGAGGCTGAGGTGGGAGGATTGCTTGAGCTCAGGAGTTTGAGAGCAGCCTGGGCAACATAGTGAGACCTAATCTCTACAAAAAAATTTTAAAATAGCTGAGCATGGTGGCATGGTGGCACTAAGCTACTTGGGTGGCTGAGGCAGGAACATCACTTGAGCCCAAGAGGTTGAGGCTGCAGTGAGCGATGATTAAGCCACTGTACTCCAGCCTGGGCAACAGATGAGACCCTGTCTCAAGAAAACACTTTTAGAAATGCAACATAGATGAGTTACTTTTTGGGTCATTCATTTATGCATCACATATTTGAATGGTCTAAGCACTGGGTATATGGTAGTGAACACAATAGACATAGTTCCACCTTCATGGGATCTCACTCAGCCTTACATATTTACATAGTATTTATTGATTGACATCTCCTAAATGTGTGCCTTCTATTCTTCAGTTCTATTTTCGCAGAACTCTAGACTTACATATCCAGTCTGCCTGGGAGTGGGGTTAGGAGTCTCTAATAGACATCCTGAAATAAGCATGTACGAAAGAACTCTAGACTCACATATCCAGTCTGCCTGGGAGTAGGGTTAGGAGTCTCTAATAGACATCCTGAAATAAGCATGTACTAAAGTTAAGCCCCTCATATACTCTACCCTCAGTCCAAATTAGCTCCTCCTGAGCCAACCTCGACTGACATCCTTTCACTCACATTCATATCCAATCCATAAGCAAAACCTATTGGCTTGACCTTTAAAGTATACTTGGAATTTGACCACTACTTACTACCTGCATTCCTACTGCGAAAGCCATCATCACCTTGTCGTAGCTTCTTACTGGTCTCCTACTAACCCTCCCGTCTCATTCAAAGCAAAGAAAGGCTTTTCAGTACTTCATCATCATCACCTCACTAAGCCCCTCTCTTCCATCAACATGAGAATTGTCCTCACTCACTCCACCCTTCCAGTTTCTGGAACACACCAAGCATGTCCCTGGCTTTGGGAGCCTTGAATGCTCTTCCCACCAGATACACAAATGATTTGCTCCCTCCCTGTCTTCAAGTCTCTGTTTATATGTCATCTTATCAGGGAGGACTCTGACCACCTTATATGAAATAGCTTTCACTGGACTGAGAATCCCCTCTTTCCTCTCCTACTTTATTTTCTTCCATAGTCTTTATTGCCGTCTGAGTGGCCACTATTGCTTATTCTTTTATGGCCTGTCTCCCTCTGCTAGAATGAAAGCCAGTAGAGCAGATATTCTATTTTTTTTCACTGCTATATTCCCAGCACCTTGAACAGTGTTTATCACAGAACAAATACTTAGTAGATATTGTGGAATACGTGAATGAATGGATGCAGTGTACAGTCTAGTGGTACAGGTAGCCAATTAGCCAGGACACAAACAAAGAAGTAAGAGCAACTAGAAAACAAAGAAGCTGAAGTGATAGAGGAATGGGCATTTGGGGTTTAGGGAAGACCTACTAATAAGGGAAGTCAAGGAGAATTTCTAGAGATTGACTTTTCAGCCATGACCTGGAGGATGGAAAGGAGCCAGCCCTTGATGGGACAAAAGGGAACTGGGAGAAGAGTGCTTCACAGAGAGGGAACAGAGAGTGAGGGAAAGCTCCAGGTCATGAAAACCTGGGCGCGTTCCAGAAACTGCATAGTGAGCAAAAAGATCATAGTGAGCAAAAAGATCTTGGGGATGATAGAGATATTCTTTACCTTGCTTTAGGTGGCATATACACAGGTGTATACATTTTTGAAAACTCATAGAATTGTACCCTTAAGATCTTGCATTTCACGATGTGCAAATTTTATCTCAATAAAAATAATGCATCATTAATAATTACATCAAAAAAAGAAAAACTACAAAAAAACTACAACAGAGTTGCAATATTCATGTAGATAGATGAGCTCTATAGGTCTGCAGCCTGCATTGAGGCCACTTCCTGGCTGCTTGTGGACAGTGCCTGGCCACAGCTTCAAGAAGGTCTGGATACACTCAAATGAAGCCTCTCAGGAAAAAAAAAACATGGGTCCAGAGTGACTCTGGGTGAGGAGGGAAGAGGAAGAGGGTTTTGCATGATTTGGTGGGATTTACTTCTCTATGGGATGGCTCTGAGAGAAGAGGTGACCAAGAGGTGAAAGAAATCAGCCCGTTTATACCCTAACATCTGTTGACATAAGGTTGACTGAGGACGTGCCTGGGGTCTGAGCAAGATGAAGCTCAGCTGAGCACTTCTCCTAGCTGGGGCTGTGATAGAAGGTTATGCGTACTCTACTCTATATATACCTTTATAGGTCTATGCCTGCTCAGGATTGTTTGGCAGATGGAGGACATGGTGTCAAGCCTGGCAGCACAGCATGAAAGCAAAGCATGCATGCATCCATTCTCACTCAGAGCAGCTTTCAGCCACTGGAAACATAAAACACTTCTGTAGCTCTGAACCCATCTATGTGTGTGTTGATATGTGCCAAGCCTTCTCTAGATATGCCTTCGGGAGTCAGTATAGCCTACCAGCCAGGAGAGTGCTGAGGGTGCTAGATGTAGACAGATGGCTGAGTTTTCACACCTTCAAGGTGAAGGAGCAGTGAGCAAAAGAATAACCTTTTGGGAGACTCTCAAGAACATCTAAAGATAGATATGCAATCTCTAAGGGACTGCTGGTGCTCAAACTGAGCTCTCATCCCAAACTAAGTTCTTGTGGCAGCTAGGTAGCTTTCATTCATTCATTCATTCATTCATTCATTCACACAGTCACAATTCATTTGTTACCAAACAATATACATAATATTATATATAGTTATCATTTTACAGATATCATTCCCTTAGTTATCCATTCAGCTTCAATGAGAACTGTGTAAATGGTTTTCACTTACCTAACTTTCAAACAAAACCCTGTCATTGGTTTTCCATCTCCAACTCTTTAAGTTTCAAACTTGGTCAATATTTTTCTTAACCAAATCATTTATCTATTGTTTTTAGTCAATGTAATTTTTTTTTCCCTTTAACTCATTTAGCGAGAGCAAGTTCACTGTGGATAGTGGAGGAGGGAAGAATATGGCATCTTATGTCTTTAAGCCTTGCCTTCCTCTGGCTCCTTTCTCAGAATCTTTATCCACAGAAAGGCTAACTGTTCTTAGACTTGGGAAAAACAAACCTCTTAGAACTAGGCTTCTCCCATGAGTGGGTTTTTATTGGTTTGTTTCCTAATAGGTGTGGCAAAACCTCTTTCCTACCTTGCTGCACCTTTTTCACTGGAGTTGGCTGCAGCTTGGACAGTACGCCACAACCAGAGTCTCTTGGATAAGTGACTGTCAGCAACAGCTTGAGAAACAAACTGTCAGAAAAGGATTATTTTTCTCCAAATGGGAGGCTAAGGCTTCATCTCTCTTCCTTGTCTTTGTATACATTTGACACATAATTGGTTTTTGTTGTTGTTGTTGTTGTTGTTGTTAGAAACAGGGTTTTATTTTTGAAAACAGAAAAAGCAAACAATATTTTAAAAATACAGTCTATCGATGTCATCATATTTGGCTTGGAATACACAAGAATCCAGTGACTGAAATGTCTGTTCTAAAAACATAAACATTTTCTTATATCAGTTCCAACCCCTTTTAATTTAATAAATATTTTCTGAATGAAATACAACTGGATAATGAAGTGACACAGTTTTTTTCTTGTGAATTGAATCTTTCGTTATGACTAGCTCTAAGTGAGGAGATCATCTGGATTATTTTGTCAAACAACTGCCTGATAACTAAATGAAGATCTACATGGTGTGATTTTTACAATCCTGTGAAGACCCCATCTGACTTTCTCCTTTGAGATTGCCTGCTTGCTGCTGCCTAAACTTTTCCTATTAGAAATTAACTCCTCTGATATGAGGTCATATGCCTTATGAAATACAAATATCCTGAGAGAGATAACACATAAACTTTATCAACCATTTTTGGTTTTAATGGATCTGTCATATCTCTTCTTGACAGAGAGCATATTTTAATAGATAGGAGAATGAAAATAAATATGAAGGCATATATTAGCTCCTTGTGAAGAAAATATACTTGTTGGGAAGTGCAGGAGTGTAGAGAAAAGAGTAAGAGCAGAGAAAGAGGAGGGTTTCTAAATTGTCATATTCCTTGACCCAGTAATTCTATTTCTGATGGGCCAACCTAAAGAAATAACAATAAACATGAAACAAAGATGTATGTGTAAAGATAGTCATTGCAGTATTCTTTAAAACAAAATAAAATGAAAGCAATCTAGATGTCCAATGATAAGGGTATGGATAAATACATATGATATGCCTTTAGGGAGCAATGGTCCAGCCATTAAAATTATGCTTCTGAAGAATTTTTAATAGCGTCAGAAAAAAGTCTGAACAATATTGTACATTTTCTGTTTGGAAACAGAAAAACCAAACAATGTTTTTAAAATGCAGTCTATTGATGTCATCATATTTGACTTGGAATACCTGAGAATGCAGTGACTGAAATGTGTGTTCTAAAAACAGAAACATTTTTTATATCAGTACCAACTCCCTTTAATTTAATAAATTTAATATTCCAAACAATATTGTACAACAGTACATTGTACTGTTTTTTTGTGTATTTTATGTATAGACACACATACCGTACATATATAGTATAATCTCAAATATCTAAAAGATAGGCATGCATATAGCATACATATATAGTATGATCTGAAATATCTAAGAGATAGATGTATATAGAAAAGACTGACTATATATGTTTATGTGTGTGTGTTTGTATTAATAGCAGTGGGATTTGGGGTATTTATTTTCTTTGATAATTTTCTATATTTTCCAGATTAAAAATAAATGGGAATTGTTAGAGAAAACATTATTTTCAATATTTGTATTTTGACATTGTCTAAAAAGGGAGATTCCTTCAGATATGATAGTTTTTTCCTGTGGCTGCTAGGCAGGCATTGATAGTTATCATGTACTTCATGGATCTGACTGGACCTTTTGAGAACAGCTACCATTCCTCCATAAAAGCAATGTCTAATTCATTAGTGAAATGACTGCATAGGTTTCTGAAAAAAAATGTGGGCATTTGACTAAACTTGAATCTGTGGGACAGTTTTTCAGAATTGAATCTTACAAGATATTCCTCATGTCTCTAAGGCATGTTATTATAATGGAGGGGTTTGTGGCTATGGAGGAAGGAGACTTGAAGAACATTTAAGTTCATCAACAAAGAAGCCGTTGTTATTTTCACAGCATTTGAAAATCTGGCTTCCCAGCACTTGGCTGAGATGACTGAAGGCTGGTGACACTGTAATTTGGCATCTAGCAAGATGCAGTTACTCTCTCAGGCCACTTAGCTCCAGTAAAGTTCAATTTAAATTATGAAACAGGGAAGAAATGCAAAAGTTCCAATCAGCAGCATAATTCTCAATCACACTGGCCATAATATGCTCCTGAAAGATGTTTTCTTTGACTGAATCTTTGCTACGCCCGGCTGATTTTTGTATTTTTAGTCAAGTCGGGGTTTGACCATGTTGGCCAGTCTGGTCTTGAACTTCTGACCTCAGGTGATCTGCCCACCTTGGACTCCCAAAATGCTGGGATTACAGGCGTGAGCCACTGTGCCCAGCCATAAATTCTTAATTTTCCTTAGTATAACCACAAACCTGAAAATAATTAATACTTTTCCCAGATCATTAGGATGCTGTTTTGGATTATTTCAAGCCTGCTTGGTGGAGGACAAATTTATTTTGTATTGAAGACAATATTTTTAATCAAATACAGTTCTGTGATTTCCCCAACCGTTATGGGGGAAGTCTGACTCTTAATGAGGGTTAAGGTAAATGACGAGTGGTATTCTTAGATTTAGCACTCCTTGAAGACCATACATTTCCAAAGAAGAGCTAGTTGTTCTCCAAGGGAAAAAATGCATTAGATTTCTGCTGTATTGACTAAATTGTAAATTGAATAAAATATTTCTTTTATTCTAATAGCATTTACTATGTTTATAGATTTAATATGTATTTATTATAGATAATTTGGAAAAGACATAAGCACACGAAGGAGACAATAAAGATCACTCATAATTTAATCTTTTAGTCAAAACCACTGCTAACATTTTTTTGTATGTTTTTGCCATGACAGATAGAGCAATAAATCTAGAGATTGTTATGGAGAGAGTGATGTAGATATACATAAAGTTATTTTTCTTTTTAAAAATAGGATTATACTGAAATAATTTTGGAACCAGATTTTTTTTTCGCCTAAATGTAGTAAGAACATTTTTCCATGTTATTAAGTATCCTTCTACCATACAGGGAAAATAAACATTTCTCCCTTATTTTGACAGGACAGTGATATCGAAGCGTTGGCCAGGTGTTTGGAAAATGTCCTGGGTTGCACTTCTCTAGGTGAGTAAGTTCCTTTAGGCTTCAAAATACATTGACAGCTACTGATTATCTTGGAATAACTTGGAAGAAATCTTACAGGTGTTTAAGTCTGATATCTTAGTATAACAGATGAAGAAACTGAGGCCAATAGAAGTTGAATGTCTGACCCAAAAGCCAGGAAACTCAAAGAAAAATTGCTTATTATTATTGTAAGTAACTCTTAGTCTCCAAGGATGAAATAATTGAAATTCAGTGGTCCCTTGTGATCAAATGGCAGCCTAGCAGTGCATAATAACAAGTTTGTGCAGTTTCTGGAAAAAGGAACCTCCCTACCTAACTTGTCTTTTAGAAGCAGAGAGCACAGTACATTCAGTTAAGCTGGGAGGACCATCACTCCGAAGGTCAGTCAGTTATTTGAAGAGATTTGGTCTGAAAAACAAAACTAAAACTTGTTTAGCATTGTCAGTCTCAATAAATAGGATTGCTATGCTTCAGGGATAAAGCCCTATTTCTTAGTTTCTTCTATTTTTTTTTTAATCTGAGAAGCCTAACTGAGATACACTCTAGCACTAGATGATAAACAGTGACACAGAGTATTCTTACTAGATGAAAAGGGCTGAGATATTTTTTTCTTCTAAATTTGATTACAAGTTTTTATTTAAAAAATTTAAACTCTAAACCAAAAGCAATCTCTTCAAAGGGAATGGCAGGGTAAAAACAAACAATTAAGTTTTCAGGTGGGCAAACATTCACTCTTTTATTAGGAGCTTTATGCACAATTTATAGCCTTTTTCTAGCTTATTCCACATCTCCATATGGGAAACCTCAGTCATAACATAAGTCTTTGATTTTCTCACCTGACCATCACCCTGTGATCTGTTTAATTGTATATCAAATACACTTATTTGATGCATTTAACATTTAACAAGTACATTTAACATCGAAGCATGACTTAAGACCAGGAAGGCTTTTTCCTCTCTGGACCTTAGATTAGATGACTAATTTTCAATCTAGGCTCCTTAGAGACCTCCAGGATGAGGGGTTGGTGGTACTAAGCAGCATGAGAACAGAAGCTGTGTCTGTACTGCTCATCTCTATTTTTCCAGAGTCTAACACTGTGTCTGGTGCAGCAGAGGCTCTTTAAAAATATTTTAAAATATTTGTGGTCGAAGGTGGTGGCTCACACCTGTAATCCCAACGTTTTGGGAGGCTGAGGTGGGAGGATCACTCGAGGTCAGGAGTTTGAGACCAGTCTGGGCAACATAGCAAGACCCCGTCTCTAACCAAATTTTTTAAAATTCAGCCAGGCATGATAGCCTGTGCCTGGAGTCCTAACTCCATGGGATGCTGAAACTAGGAGATTCCTTGAGCCCAAGAGATTTAGGCTGCGGTGAGTTGTGATTATACCACTGTACTTCAGCCTGGGTGCTAGAGTGAGACCCTATCTCAAAAATATATATTATTGTTATAATTTCTATAAAGTAAAGGGGTACAGTGCAGTTTTCTTACACAGATATATTGCACAGTGGTAAAGTCTGGGCTTTTGGTGTAATCATCACCTGAATATGGTACATTATACCCATTAAGTAATTTTTTTATCACTCACCTCTCTCCCAACTTCCCACTCTTCTGAGTCTCCAACGTCCGTTACTCCACACTGTATATCCATATGTACACATTATTTAGCTCCCACTTATAAGTGAGAACATTGGTATTTGACATTCTGTTTCTGAGTTGTTTCACTTAAGATAATGGCCTCCAGTTCTTTCTATGTTGCTGCAAAATTCATGATTTTATTCTTTTTTTGTGGTTGAATAGTATTCCATTGTGTGTGTGTGTGTGTGTGTGTGTGTACTGTTATCCAATCGTCCTTTGACGGACACTTAGGTTGGTTCCATATCTTTGCTGTTGTGAATAGTGCTGCAATAAACATAAAAGTGCAGGTATCTTTTTGATATAATGATATAATGATCTTTTCCTTTGGGTATATACCCAGTAGTGGGATTGCTAGATTGAATGGTAGTTCTTTGAGCAATCTCCATACTATTTTTCATACAGGTTGTACAAATTTATATTCCTACCAAAATACTGTATAAATGTTCCTTTTTCTCTGTATCCTCATCAACATCTGTTATTTTTTGTCTTTTTAGTAATAGCCATTCTGACTGGTGTAAGATACCTTCTTGTGGTTTTAATTTGCATTTATCTGATGATTAGTGATGTTGAACATTTTTTCATATGTCTTTTGCCCATTTATGTCTTCTTCTTTTGAAAAATGTCTGTTCATGCATGTCTTTTGCCCACTTTTTATTCGAGTTAGTTGGGGTTTTTTTGTTTTTTGTTTTTTTGTTTGTTTGTTTGTTTTTGGTGATGGTTGTTTGAGTCCCTCATAAATTCTGGATATTAGTCCCTGCCAGATTGATAGTTTGCAAATATTTTCTCCTGTTCTGCAGATTGTTTGTTTATGCTGTTGATTTGTTTCTTTTGCTACACAGAAACATTTTAGTTTAATTAAGTCCCATTTGTCTATTTTTGGTTTTGTTGCTTATGCTCTTGTAGTCTTAGTCATGAATTCTTTGCATAGACCAATGTCCAGAAGAGTTTTCCCTAGGTTTTCTTTAAACAAAAAAATTTTTTTTATTCCAATAGGTTTTTGGGGAACAGTTGGTGTTTGGCCACATGAATAAGTTCTTTAATGGCAATTTATGAGATTTTGGTGCACCCATCACCCTAGCAGTGAACACTGTACCCAGCGTGTAGCCTTTTATCCCTCACCTCCCTCACCCTTTCCCCACAAGTCCCTAAAGTCCAAATGTATCATTCTTATGCCTTTGTGTCCTCATAGCTTAGCTCTCACATGAGTGAGAATATAGGATGTTTGGTTTTCCATTCCTGAACTACTTCACTTACAATAACAGTCTCCATTTCCATCCAGGTTGCTGCAAATGCCATTATTTCATTCCTTTTTATGGCTGAATAGTATTCCGTGGTGTGTGTACCACATGTGTATGTGTATCACATTTTCTTTATCCACTCATTGATCGATGGACATTTGGGCTGGTTCCATATTTTTGCAATTGCAAATTGTGCTGCTATAAACATGCATGTGCATCTTTTTCATATAATTACTTCTTTTCCTCTAGGTAGATACCTAGTAATGGGATTGCTGGCTCAAATGGAAGATCTACTTTTAGTCCTTTAAATAATTTTCATACTGTTTTCCATAGTGGTTGTACTAATTTACATTCCCATCAACAGAGTAAAAGTGTTCCCTTTTCACTGCATCCATGTCAATATCTATTATTTTCTGATTTTTAAAATTATGGCCATTTTTGCAGGAGTGAGGTGGTATCACATTATGGTTTTTATTTGCATTTCCCTGATACTTAGTGATGTTGAGCATTTTTTCATATGCTTGTTGGCCATTTGTATATCTTCTTTTGAGAATTGTCTACTTATGTCCTTAGCCCACTTTTTGATGGGATTTTTTTTTGTTTTCTTCTTGCTGACTTGTTTGAGTTCTTTGTAGATTCTGAATATTAGTGCTTTGTTGGATGTATAGATTGTAAAGGTTTTCTTCCACTCTGTGGGTTGTCTGTTAATTCTGCTGTTTATTTCTTTTGCTGTGCAGAAGCTTTTTAGTTTAATTAAGTCCCATCTATTTATCTTTGTTTTTGATGCATTTGCTTTCAGGTTCTTGGTAATGAAGTATTTGGCTAAGCCAGTGTCTACACGGGTTTTTTCTGATGTTATCTTCTAGAATCTTTATGGTTTCGGTCTTACATTTAAGTCTTTGATCCATCTTCAGTTGATTTTTGTATAAGGTGAGAGATGAGGATCCAGTTTCATTCTTCTACATGTGACTTGCCAATTATCCCAGCACGATTTGTTGAATAGGGTGTCCATTTCCTACTTTATGTTTTTGTTTGCTTTGTTGAATATCAGTTAGCTATAAGTATATGGCTTTATTTCTGGATTCTCTATTCTGACCCATTGGTTTTTGTGCCTGTTTTTATACCAGTACCATGTTGTTTTGATGACTATGGCCTTATAATATAGTATAGTTTGAAGTCAGGTAATGTGATGCCTCCAGATTTATTCTTTTTTCTTAGTCTTGCTTTGGGTATGCAGGCTCTTTTTTGGTTTCATATGAATTTTAGAGTTTCTTTTTATAGTTCTGTGAAGAATGATGGTGGTATTTGATGGGAATTGCATTGAAGTCATTTTCACAATGTTGATTCTCTCCATCCATGAGCGTGGGATGTGTTTCCATTTGTTTGCATCATCTATGATTTCTTTCATTAGTGTTTTGTAGTTTTCCTTGTAGAAATTTTTCACTTATTTGGTTAAATGTATTCCTAGGGTTTTTTTTTTTTTGTAGCTATTGTAAATGGAATTGCCTTCTTGATTTGGTTCTTAATGTGATTGTTATTGGTGTACAGAAATGCCATAGATTTTGGTATGTTTATTTTGTATCCTGAAATTTTACTTAATTTGTTCATCTAATCTAACAGTTTTTGGAGAAGTCTAGTGTTTTCTAGGTATAAGATCATATGATCAGCAAACTGAGATAATTTGACTTTCTTTTTTCCAATTTGGGTGCTATTTATTTTTCTCTTGCTTGGTTGCTCTGGGTAGGACTCCTAGTACTGTGTGGAACAGGAGTAATGAAAGTGGGCATTCTTGACTTGTACCAGGTTTAGGAGAATTGCTTTCAACTTTTCCCCATTCAGTATGATGTTGGCTGTAGATGTGTCATATATGGCCTTTATTATTTTGAGGTAGGTTTCTTTTATGCCTCATTTATAGAAGGTTTTATCATGATAGAATGCTGACTTTTTTCAAATGCTTTTTCTGCATCTATATAGATGATCATATGGTTCTTAAAAAATTTATGTGGGTACATAGTAGGTGTTTGTGTTTATGGAGTACATGAGATTTTTTAAATAGGCATACAATACATAATAATCATATCATGGAAGCTGAGGTTTGGGTCTGGAAAAATGCTTGGGGCACTTCCTGGAGCCTTTCTTTCTTACAGCCTGCCAGCCTTTCTCCAAGTTAGCACCAGGGCTGGTGAGGGACAAGGTGCTCTTCCATGGCCTGGATTGCATGGTCCCCCCGTGGAAAGCTGGATCACAGAGAAACAGTCTCTCTCACTCTCCCATATTAGGGCTTTACTCACAGTTCTCAGTCAGTTGTTGGCATGCAGGCTGTCTACCCATCCTCTCTTCACTGGGATCTTTCCTTTTCCAGTGAATTCCTCTGTTCTTTCTTGAATAAAAGATTATAGTGTGAATCTCTGTGCACTATTTTGCTTTTTCCATGTGAAATATTTAAAAATATTTTTAGGAGAAATTAGATGCAGACCCTGTTCTTTTACCAGTTTCAACCAAAATTATCTTCACTCTTATCTGTTTTATAAATTGAATTTCTATAAAAGATTGTGTCTGGAAAAAGATAGATTCCACTGCTAAAAATTGAAATAGCACTGATTGAATAGTTAATATCCAAATTCCTTTCTAGGCTGGGTGTTTTTTTTTTCCTTAAAGAAATGAGCATTAGAATCATGGAGTAAAAATACACATTTATCTCTGCTTGAAGTCCCACTAACATGACAAAAAAGGAAAAAAGCTAATATAAACCTACAGAAAAAAAAGAGAACATAAGAGGAGATGGAAGCAGATGAGAGCTTTAGTGAACTTGAGAAAGATATAAAGCAGATAGATGAGTGATAACTGATTTAGAAAACAGAGAAAGCTGAAAGCTAAGTGCCTAAGATGTATATAGGAAAGAAGGGAAGGTAAGGTGTAGGCTAGGAGAAGCAAGGCAACTGAACCTACAGAATCTCATAAATGCTCAAGATTTGGAGGCCTCAACTACCGCTGAAGGCATGGTATAGGTGAAGATTAAAATGGGAAGATTGGTTGACAGTGTGCGTAAGGAGAAATAGACCCCAGGTGCCTTTCTCTCCACTGGCACAGCCACAATATTCCTCTCCACAGTCAAGACAGAAGAAAACAGACTCGATTTGGGGGAACATTGAATCAGGAAGGTTTTAGGGACACCAAAGGACAGGGTGATGTGATGTGATGAAAACAAAGAGATGAGTTGAAAGTCTTCATATTAAGTTATGAAACCCCCAGATACCATTCCTACTTGGCTTCTGAAACACTGGAAGAACAGCATGGACTCCTTCAGGTTCAGAAAAGCATGGACTCTTTAGAAGATATCTCTCTGACAGCATTTACCAGCCTGAGAATCCTAAGGATGTTAACATTTCCTCAACAAAATGGTGGGAATGAGCGCTACCAGTTGACAATCTCTGAATCTGCAGAAAGAGCTTAAACTGACTTTTAATTTTTCACACTTAAATGTGAACATGTAGCAATGCAGTAGCCAGTATCTGAGGAAATCTAACCAAAAAGAGAAATCAAGACAAAAATATACAAAGAACTCAGGAAACAGACAATGTAGACAAGAAAATAAAAATTCAAAAACTGTGTATCCACAAAAGTTTTTTAAAATAAAAAATTAAAGAAACAATATTAAAATTCTAAAAGATAGCAGAGAAAGTATTACCTCTGTGAAGCAAATCATACAGAGAATAAGAAAGAGCTCTTAAAGTTATAATTTTAATGGCAGAAATAAAAATTCAGTAGAAGGTTTGGAAGATAAAAGTGAGGAAATTTACCAGAATATAATTAATAAATGGTAAGAAAACAAAGTGATTCATCTACGTGATTCAGCACCTAACAAATAGAAATTCCAGGAAAAAAGAACAGAAAATGAAAAAAATTATCAAATAAATAAGAAAAATATCTAGAGAGAATCAAACAGACCACTTATAAAGTATCAGAGAAAAGAGTGGTGTCTTATTTTTCAACAATAACTAAAAGCTAGAAGATAATAAAGTTTGAACCTACAAATATTTATCTATCCAAACTATCAATCAAGTGTGAGAAAGGAAGAAAGACATTTGCAGGCATCCAATATCAAAAATGAGGTCTGAAAAATATCTACCTCCCATGACTTTACTTAGGAAGTTCCTAGAGGATATGCGTCATCAAACCTAAGAGTCAATCAAGAAAGAGGAAGACATGAACTTCAGGTGATAGGAAATCCAATATAGGAGAGAGGTTAAGGGGATTCCCAGAATGAGAGTAAAGAAAGGTCACTGAACGATAGGTGGGCAACAGGCCTGGGAAATAATCCATTCAGACTAGAATGAGTCAGAGAATTCCAAGGGGTAAATAAATATCTCCTAGAGAGGAATGGAACTAATGGATAACCCATTTGGATTTTATCATAATGAGAGGAGTTTGCAGTTCCTTTGGTGAGTTTAGGGATGAATTAGAAGTTATTAGAAAACTAAACAAAGTGAAAAATCCAGGGCAATTATGAACTCCTGGAAAAACAAAAAGTCATTTTTTAAAAAGAAAATGTAATCTGCACACACTGAGTGCTTAGCTGTATACAATATTTGCATAGTCATAATAATTTTTTTTAAATGTGATGTAACTATATTGGAAAGATGGAGGGAAGAAAAATATTTGTAAGTGTATGTGTGCATCTGTGTGTGTGTGTATAACAGAGAGAGGAAAGAAAGAACAAAATTAACATTCCCTATTTATAGTAGGAAGTCCAAAACAGATTGTCTAAAACAGAAAAGTTTAAAAAAAATAGTTGTATAAACATGTGCTATAGAGAGATAAAGGTAAATACAAAAAAAAAAAAAAACAAGTTAAAGAGTTGAATATGGTTGACTTTGGAGACTGGAACTTGAAGGTGAGGCAGGAAGCTTTCTTGTTTTTAACATTAAAAGCTTTGACTTAAAAAAGTACTAGGTACATGAATTCTTAGATTAGAAGTCAATTTTTAAAAAGAGGTAAGTGTTGGAAAGCAAAGAGCCCAATTCTGCCCTCCATTACTTTAGTGTGCCTGCTATTAAGGCTGGATTAAGACTTTTGGACACTTTGATTTCTGAGAAGATTATAGTAAACTAAATTTGTAAATTAAAAAGAAGCTAGATTATAAAATAAAAAATACATATACCCTGAAGTTATAATAGCTTCTTTTCAGATTATCTGATTGCAAGGTTCTGAATACGTTAATTAAATGTATTTTTCAGTTTTGGATACCTTTACTCTGCTTATGTCCTGGCATCTGCTGGGATGATTTATAGGACATTTCAGAGTTCATTCCATGTAACTGCTAAAGTGCTTGCTGCCCAAAACTGTGCAACACAGGAAGCCCCTTAACCCTTCTACTGCTTCTTATGACTATGATGACCTCTTATTGTGTGTGACCTCTTATGTTACCAGAACAGTAGAATTTAATTAATGCTGCTGCTGAAATGGAAGGAGTTCTTTGATTATGGCTACAGACATTGAGATGATGGGAGCACATGCTTTTGAAATACCTGTCTGGTGTGGAAACTCATAGCAGGACCCTCATTACACATGAGAACTTTATTGCTTTCAGGACTGCAAGAACTTCCCTGTCATTATATAGAAATCATGAAGACAATCCCATCACATAGTCTTATAAGGGTCTAACATTGCCCAGGTAGCTTGTGTCTGCTTTGTTCCTATTACATTTTTGGGAGGCCCACTAACTGTAATAATAGTTAGAGCTTATTAATCATTGTGGTTGTTAATATATGTCAGAATGTTAACAGGATCCGGGGACAATTTAAGCTTAAGTATGTCAGAGTATAAGCTTTTTCACTTCAAAATGAAACCTCTGTGAATTGAACTAGGCTTTACTCATGCTCATTATCTGCCTAGGCACTTTGGTAATGCCCAGGTGCCTGCAGAGCATGTCAAGATATGTATGTATCTTCTACAAACATCTTCAAGAGCTTCTTCTATCTCTTAACCAGAGAAGAAAGAAAAACAGACATACACATGTCCTTTCTGGTAATTTCAACCAAGAAATTTTTAACTTCGAAACCCTGAAAATGCTGTGTGTAGTGGCTTGACCCCATTCCTGACCCCAATTTAGTTTGAATTCTACTTGGAACAGGGACAGTGATATTTTTCTTTCTTACATCACAGATGAGTGGACTGAATGAATGAGTTAGCATTTGTGTGGCTTCAGGAGATCCTGAAGATGACTTTTTGCATTTCAAGTTCAGTGTATTAGTCTCCTTTATAGCATCAAGGTCAGATTAAAGCCTTGAGATCAGTGATTTTCACACTTGGGCATGCATCTGAATTACCTAGAGGGCTTAAAATACAGGTTTGGTATGTGTCCAAGAATTTGTATTTCTGACAACTTCCTACATGATGCTGATGCTCTGGGTCCAGACTGCACTTTAAGAACTATGGCTTTATAATCTTTAAGCCTTGAAAGGATTATCGTGCACACTCACCCCAATTTATAATTCAAACAGAACAATACTAAAGTGTAAAATAAAAATTTTATTTCCAAAAATTATAGAGAACTTAAAAGCTATAAGCTAAAATGAAATGTTTTCTTCCTAGATTTTTTTCCTCTTTCTTTCTGTGATCCTGTCCTGTGTGATGGGCTATCTGGCACTGTGCATAAGAGTTACTGAGCTTCCTTAGAAGTGGTATTGTATTTCTGCCTGATCCTCAGCATCCACATCAGGCATTTAGAGAGCTCATGAAGGTTCAAGGCATTGCATAAAGAGTTGGATATTGAGACTCATTTAGAATATGGTCCTTGTCATGAGGTGGGCTCCTGGACAGATCAGTGCAAGGTTTTGTGAAAGTACCAGGGAATACCTACTAGGTGCTTTTCTCATACATGGAAAACAAATTGTCTTACATGAAGGCCCCTCATTTACAAAACGCTAAATTCCCACCAAAATTTCCCATGGGATACAAGAAGCAAGACCAGACATGAACAGGATATTAAGTGATTCTAGGCAGAATTAGGAGAAAGAAAGAGGGAAGAAATGAAAAGGGAACAGAAAAAAAGTCCAGAATGAGGGCATGGGGAATAGCCAATAATATAGCCAATAGCTATTTTACTGAGGGCAGATACTTTGAAACATGACATTTCCGTAGTTGAAATTTCTATCCTTGATTTCCTTTCCTCTTCTTCCTTCCCTACAAATGTTTATAAAGTTTGCATTATAAGCCAAATGTCACAGATAGAGTGGCGAAGAAAACAAGTCCCTGTCTTAATGATTTCCCAGTATAGTCAGGGAGGCAGATAATTACAGAATACTGTGATGAGTACACCATACACTGTGAATAAGGCAAATGTGTGTTGGGTGTGTACTGGGGTATAACCCCAGTGCAATGTACAATATCCCTGCTACAAAGTATATTAACTTCAATGAAACCATAATGCATGTGTATTAAGTGAATTAATGATTGGTGAGTTTCTCTTTTAGCTATGTAAACTTGATTACTGGAACTTCTTTCTAGTTAACACCAATATACATAATGTTCTTTGCTATGAGTATGCTAATAAGAGTAATTAATAATATTGTTAAAGGGATTTATTTATATTACAAAGTCTTTTCCTTGCTACCTCCCCTTGCTACACATGGATCAAATGGAGCTGTCTGGCAAGGTAGCAGACATGTAGCATGTTCTCCGTAAGTTGTCACTAATCCTGAATCTGTTGCGTTCTTTGGAGTTTTAAAGAAGTTGTAGAAATTTAAATTTTTCATAAGACATAAATCTCTATAAGACATAAACAGAAGGGATAATGGAAAACAGATATTGTGTATCCACATCAAAATGATCCAAGTGGCTTATAATCCAGAATATCCCTTCTCTCTTCCAATGAAAGTGGTCGCAATGTGTCAGTAACCAAAGTAAAACAGTATGTTGAAATCTCTGTGAGACTAGCATGAGAAATTTTTTTCTGTCAAGGTGAAAAACACAATAGTGCAAGATTAACTGACTTTAAGTCATCACCACACTTAATGGCTTAAGAGTTTGAAGAGCTTAAGCAAGGGAAGTTTCTAAGGGATTCAGAAGCCCTGATGATTTCTCTGGTCTATATCAGTGTTATTGTTTAGCAGAGATTAAGGAATTATTACCAAAGTTCTATGGAAGAATTGAGGGGTAACAATTTTCAAACAGCAAAACTGATCAGACCTATTAACACATTAAAAGAATCTTAATGGGAAGTGAGGTTTTGGAGCATCTGTGAAATTCTAATTACTTCTGAAACAACATCCAGTTTGGATGTACAAAGCCTTTTTATAAATATAGTTTACCAAGGACATGTATAATTCTGCTGATAACTTTTCTCAGCTAGAAGTGCAGCTAATTTGGCTGGGCACAGTGGCTCACATCTGTAATCCCAGCACTTTGGGAGGCCAAGGTGGGTGGATCACCTGAGGTCAGGAGTTCAAGACCAGCCAGGCCAACATGGTGAAACCCCGTCTCTACTAAAAATACAAAAATTAGCCAGGCATTATGGCGGGTGCCTGTAATCCCAGCTTCTCAGAAGGCTGAGGCAGGAGAATCGCTTTAACCCAAGAGGTGGAGGTTGCAGCAAGCCAAGATCACACCACTGCACTCCAGACTGGGTGAGAAGAGCAAGACTCCATCTAAGAAAGAAAGAAAGAGAGAGAGAGAGAGAGAGACAGACAGACAGACAGACAGAAAGAAGGAAAGAAAGAAAGAAAGAAAGAAAGAAAGAAAGAAAGAAAGAAAGAAAGAGAGAAAGAACAGCTAATTTCCCAAACATTTAAGAATGTTAAAGTTTGTAGATTACCTTGGCTCATAATGTAGTTACTAAGATATGGAGACAGAATTTTCATTTCTAAGAAGTTCAAAGAAAATGAAGTTAGAGGTCATCTTCTGTCTTTCTTACTGAGCAATGATGATCCTAAACAGTTACTGTAGTAACATGTGATCTGTTATCTGAGTAGTAATAACACATACCCAGTTCTACATTTCAAGTCACTGCTTTCAAAGCACTCTCCTTGTTTGTTAAAGGTGACCTTTTCAGATCGTACTTTAAAAAAATAAAACAGTGGTATCCTAACCCACAGGATGAGATTCAAACTCCTAACCTGGCACACAAGATTTTTTTCTGGCCTTGGCCCTATACATCTAGGTTCATCAATCCCTTCCTCACACCTTACATTCCAGTAGCACCAAACTTCTTGATATTTCCATGAATATACTCAGTTGTTTCACACTTCTGAGCTTTCACACTGCTTGATCCTTTCTAGAGAATGCTTCCCCTCCCGACTGCTTGGCAGCTCTACTTCTATCTTTCTATTCATTCATTAAGTGATTATTGAAAAAAAAGTTGTATGCCATACTATGTGTTGGCCTCTGAGAATATTTCAGTGAACACAACCTTGCCCTGCCCTCACAAACACCAGAATTACAAACCTTCTACTTCTCTGTAAAGCTTTCCTTGGGTTGCCAACTGATTAGACCATGTCCAAATAAGGCAAATGCCCAGCTGTAACCAATAAAGCTGGTTCTATACCTCACTTCCATTTTCTATCGATAAATGCTGCTTGCCTGCAGAATAGAGTTCTCCAAACCTCTTGTGGTTCTGAGGGCTGTCCAATTCATAAATCATTCTTTGCTTAAATAAACAGTTAAATTTGTCTCCAAAGGCTGGGAAGGAGAGAAGAGAGGAAGATAAGAAGAGATTGGTCAATGAGTATAAAGTTAAAATTAGATAGGAGGAGTAAATTTCGGTATTCTATTGCACAGTTGGGTGACCGTGGTTAGCAATATCATATTGTACATTTCAAAATGGCTAGAAGAGAAGATTTTGGATGTTCTTACCACGATGAAATGATGAATGTATAAGGTGATGGATATGCTAAATACACTGATTTGATTTTTATACAATGTATACATTTATCTAAACACCACATTGTATCCCATAATTACATACAATAATTATGTGTCAATGAAAACAAAATTTAAAACATTTTTAAGAGATTTAAGAAATTAATTTGTTCAAAGTTAATCTTTTAACCCTAAGTTCTAAAAACTTACTCTAACATAGGTCTTCTACAAAGACTATGCACCAATATAGTGATTTCAAAACTGGTTTTAAGGTAAATGCAGAAATATTTTTTATGTATTTGTTTCTTATCCTGACCTACCATAAAAGCTCAATGCCTATATTGGTCCTCTATGGATGCATAACAAATTACTCAAAAACATATGGGCTGAAAACAATGATAATCATTTATTACCTCTCATAGTTGCTGTAGGTCATGAATTTAGGAGGGCGTAACTGGATGGTTCTGGCTCAGGGTCTCTCATGAGTTTGCAGTTAGCTATCACCCAGGGCCACAGTCATCTGAAGGCTTCACTGGGGCTGGAGATTGCATTTCCCAGATGACTCACACAGCTGGCCTCAGATCCCTTCCAAATTGGCCTTTCCACAGAGAATCTTGAGTGTCCTCAAGGATAATAATGTTAGATACTGGGCACAGTTTTTAGACTGACCAATATTGCTGCCTTGGGAACCTGGATGTGGCTGATGTTCCTACCGCAAACCTGCCTGGATGGACTTCATGTGGTCTCTGCTTCTTCTCATTATCAATTTTTTTTTAAGACAGGGTCTCACTCTATTGCCTGTGCTGGAGTACAGTGGCACAATCATGGCTCACTGCAGCCTTGACCTCCTGGGCTCAGGGTAATCCTCCCGCTTCAGCCTCTCATGCAGCAGGGACTACAGGCATGTGCCACTATGCCTGGCTAATTTTTTTTTTTTTTTGTATTTTTTGTAGAGATGGGGTTTTGCCATGTTGCTCAGGCTGGTCTTGAACCCCTGGGCTCAAGTGGTTCACCTGACTCAGCCTCCCAAAGTGCTGGGATTACAGATGTGAACTACCATGTCCAGCCAAATTCATCTTACTGGCAGAGGCTGGTCATATTTCTACACCCTAATTACATGGGAGACTGGTAAGTTAGTCTTCGGCATTCATGGCTTTAATGGGAGCCAGGCTCTGTCTCACAAAGTAAAAGATTCCCCTTACAAGGGAAATGAGAATGTAAGGCCAAAAATAACAAATATTTACTATATTAATGAGCTCCACTGTTGTAAGGATAGAATTTTAGGAATAACTAGAGATGTGAAAGGAGAGATGGCCCTTGCGGTGTCTTGTGGAAACATCTCCTCTTTTGGCTTTCATAGAAGCTAAGGAGTACATGATACCAGGTAATCATTTTTCAATTTATCTTCTGTTCTGCTGACGATAGTGAGAGCTACATGCTTCCCCCGCAATTGTCAGGATTCACATTCTAATGAAAAGTGAGAACGCATCCTGGTGGTAATGTAAACTAGTACAACCACTATGGAAAACAGTATGGAGATTCCTTAAAGAACTAAATGTAGAACTACCATTCAATCCAGCAATCTCACTACTGGGTATCTACCCAAAGGAAAAGAAGTCATTATATGAAAAAAGATACTTACACATGCATGTTTATAGCAGCGATTGCAAAAATATGGAACCAGCATAAATGTTCATCAACCAATGAGTAAAGAAAATGTGGTATATATATATATACACCATGGAACACTACTCATCCATAAAAAAGAACAAAATAATGGCATGCACAGCAACCTGGATAGAGTTAGAGGGGCCATTATTCTAAGTGAAGTAACTCAGGAATGGAAAACCAAACATCATATGTTCTCACTTATAAGTGGGAGCTAAGCTGTGGGGACACAAAGGCAGAATGATATAATGGACTCTGGGGACTCAGGGGGAAGGGTGGGAGGGGGTGAGGAATAAAAGACTACACATGGGGCACAGTACACACTGCTCTAGTGATGGGTGCACCCAAATCTCAGAAACCATCACTAAAGAACTTATCCATATAGCCAAAAACCACCTGTTCCCCAAAAACTATTGAAATAAAATAAAACAAAAATTTTAAAAACTTAAAAAAAGAGAAGGAAGTACTGCTGATACACTTTCCTTAAGTATTTGAATCAGTCTTGAAGCCAGATCAACCTCCTATTACAGAAAAGCAGGTTTTGTTTTTAAAGCTAAATTTCTTCATGTTGGCAGATAAGAATAATTAAACTCCCCAAACATTGGCTAGTGTCTCCACAGGGAAAGCACAAATGAAAAAGTTAGGGTCTGGCTTCCACAAATCTCATCTTAGCCTGTATCCACATTTAATTACTGAATGTCAATCCAAAAAACAGACACTTCGTCTCTTCCTTTTACTGGTAGCTACTGTTCTTAGAGGTTTTTCCTGGTGTATTCAAAAGGAAACAAGAATTTCCAAACTCCTTAACTCTTGTTGTTTTTAATCATCTATAAAATTCAGGTGAATATTTGCAGTGTGAAATAACCATAATAAAAATATTTTATTTTCTATCTTCTGGTATTTATCATATTTCCTATAAGTAGCAAGTTTGCTTTTCCCAAGTTGATCCACTTTTTCCCAACTATTTAATTTTGGTGTAGGCAGTGGAGTCCTATTGATACACTGAGAAGCTGCTCCATGCAAAGCATTGTGGTGGACATCATGGGGAGGTAGTGTAAATTTGCCTTGGGTCTTTTGTAGCAATAATGTACCTTTATATATAAGTTTAATATACATTTAAGCTTTACTAGAGCCATAGAAGATAGGATTCTTTTTTTTGTATCAATGAGGCAACTGAGTCACAGATTTTTACCTTTCCAAACATCACAGAATCAAGATTCAAACCCAAGTCCTCTAAGCCAGCTCACATACTTGTCCTAATATGCCCCAGCTCCCTTCCTACTGGAAAGCATTTGAGGTTGTTCTCTCCTAGACCATCTTCTTCCTTTTCCTCCTGTGCTTTTCTACTCCAGCATCCTAATGTGGTTTGGCATTGACACCGCTGATGCCACAGGGTTGACAACAACTTCTTTGGCAGTGGCTTCTGCCCTGTACCAATAAAATCAATTCTCTGAAAGAGCTGGGGATGGACAAGAAGTGGTAGGAATGGTCATGTCATTATTTCTAATACTGCTCTTATCAAATACCCAACTTATTAAAGGAACCAAGACAATAATCTCCATGCCCTCAACCTTATCCACTTCAACCTTTAGGCTGGGTTTTCTAGGAAGCCGTCTCTGACAGAGTTGAGTAGGCAGGACTTTTATGCATGAGTGCCCTTGGGATTGACCCTGTGGACAGAAGGAGAAGGATGCAGGATGAGGCAGAGGGAGAAGTTGAGCAGTGATGAAGGCCTGACAAGCCTTAGCCAAACCCTCAGAGAGCTCCAGTCCCATGGGTGTTGCCAGCAAAGGCCATAATGGTTAGGTTCTCTACCTCTACCATGATCAGTCATTAAAGGTTGCTACTTGGAGGGGCATGATTTGGGGGAAGGCAGCTTTCTGAGGCTGAAGAATTTCCTGAAGGGGCCACAGCTGGAGGCTGTCTACTCCCAACAGCTGGGGTAGCAAGTTCTTCCTTCAAGGAGGATCTGCATAGTGCATCTCCATTTCTGGGGTGTTGAGGTGTTGAGGTGAGGCAGTACAGAGACTACCCTGTTTTGCAGATTCTTCGACAGTTTTGTTGCCATTCTGATGTCCACTATTGTCACAGGAGAAGCTCAAGGAAAAATCTTCACCAAGTTTGTGTCAGCTAAGCCTCTCAGCAGAGTAGAGCAGCTTTCACAGTGCCCTGCTGATTCACAGCCCCTCATAATAAGTCATGGGGCTGTCATCTGGAGAGGTGGAGAAATGAGATGGAAGACATAATGATCACCCCAAATTTCAACCTTTTAGAGGGGAAGTTCTGTCTGATGATCTTATTTTTTTTTAATTATCACATGAAACTCGTTATTTGGTTGTGGCACTTCTATGGGATGTTAGAGCACTCATTTGGGAGTCAGGAAACCACAGTTCTAGTCTGGGCTCTGCCCCTTTCTATGACCTTGTGCAAGTCATAAAACCTCTCTTGGCCTGAGTCTTCACACCTGTAAGATGAAGAAATTTGACTTGAGGTGTTCTAGGGTCACATCCAGCTCAGAATCATGATGAATCTCTATCATTTAGGCCAGAGGTCAGCAAACTATGGCCTGCATTCCAAATCTGTCTCACTGCCTGTTTTTGTAAATAAAATGTTACTGGAACACAGCCATGCTCATTCATTTACCTATTGCCTATAGCTATTTTCATGCTACTGAAGCAGACTTGAGTTGCAACAGAAATTCTATGGTCTATAAAGTCTAGAATATTTACTACCCGCCCCTTTACAGATAAAGGTTTGCTGACCTTGATCTAGGCAAATCTTCTGTCATGTCGCATTCCAAGGAGTAGGAGGAGAAATATGAGCCATGAGGATATACTTTTGCAATAATTTGGCAAAGAGTGGTATCAGTCAAGTAACTGCTATTTCCTAAGTATTCCTTAGGAAATTCAGAGCAAGACGAGGGTTAAAGATTAGGTAAGAAGCATTCTAAATGTACAGTGCACCAAGGGCAGTGTCTGTGAGGATTCCTGAGTAAGCAATGTCTCAGGTGCTTAAGTGAGATCTTGTTTGCCAAAATATCCACCTCTGTGGTCCCTGCATCAGCTCTTTATTACCCACATGGCAGGGTGTTTAGCAGGGAGGGCAAACACAGCTTTTTCTTTTATGATCAAGGTCATTTGTCCAGCAACTGAAATGGGTAAAGGGAAATTTTAGAAGAAATTTTTCAAAGAAATGAGAGAAGAAACTCTCTGCTGGTGAAATGTCAGAATTATCAAGCTGTCACTCCTTCAGGGAAAATAACTTTGCTGGTGAGAGACCATAGAAGTAGGAGGAATCCTGACAATATTACTATTATGAGCTGTGCTTTGCACTTTTAGGAAACACAGCATCCAATTGCCAAATGTGTCTTCGTATCATTTTGTTTTCATCTCATTGTCAAAACATCCCCATGGGATATTGTCAAGTGTCATAATCCTCATCATTCTATATTTCACAGATGAGAAGAGAGACTTCAGGATGATTTTGCCTGACATAATGCTCATAACATTTACTGTTGGTCCCAGCCATTTGCTTCTTAGCATTTGTTTCCTTTGATTGCTCTTTATCTTTGTTAGCATAGGCATTGTCTTCCCAAGTAAATGCTATGCCTGACCTATGTCTTAGATCACAGAATGTTAGAATTGAGGGAAGGCCTTCAGTCTAATGAAACTACTGAAATATAAAATGAGGGAAGTGAGACCCAGGGAGGTGGCCTGAGCTGGTGAGAGAACTAAAAGAATAACTGTGGTCCCCTAACTTGAAGGTTATTGCTTTTTCCACGGACCTCATTATACCTCTTTGCATGCCCCATACATAGTATAGTGTCTTATGTATATGTACTCCATAGTACTACTAGGGATCATCTGTATAGATAGCCTATCTTCTTAATTGACTGCAAGATTTTTATAGGTTAAGAATCACAGCTACTATTTATATTGCTTTTGATTTAACTCCCACCTATTGAGCATATAAAATATATGGCTTAAAAAACTGGAAAAAGATGAGCAAATTAAAGCCAAAGCAAATTGAAGGGAGAAAATTACAAAAATCAGAGTGGAAATAAGCAAAATAAAGAATGGAAAAACAATAAAGGATGTCAGTGAAACAAAAAAAAATAGGTTCTTTGTAAAGATCAACAAATATTGACCAACAAAATAAAAGAGAAGATTCAAATTAATACATCAGAAATGAAAGAGGGGACATTACTACTAACCTTAAAGAAATAAAAAGGATTGTAAAGGTATACTACGAACAACAGTATACCAACAAATCAGATAAATTAGATGAAATGGACAAATTTCTAGAAAGACAAAAATCACTGAAACTGACTCAGAAGCAATAGAAAGCTGAATACAGGGATGTGCACCTGTAGTCCCAGCTATTGGGAGGCTGAGGTGGGAGAATCACTTGAGCCTAGGAGTTCAAAGTCAGCCTGGGCAACATAGCAAGAGTCTGTCTCTAAACATAAATACACAAATAATTTTTTTAACAAAAAGAAATAGAAAACCTGAATATGCCTATCATATTCTATAGGACATAGATTTTCTATATACAAAATCATGTTATCCGCAAATTGAGATAATTTTACTTTTTCCTTTCCAATTTGGATTCCTTTGACTTCTTTTTCTTGCCCAATTTCCCTGGCTATAACCTGTAGTACAATGTTATATAAAAATGGCAAGAGAAGACATTCTTGTCAGGAGGAAAGATATACTATCCTTTCTTCATGTTACTGGATTTGACTTACTAGTATTTTAATAAAGGCAAAATTAGGGTTTTGTATTATACTTTAAGATCTGGGATACATGTGCAGGAGGTGCAAGTTTGTTACATAGGTATACACATGCCATGGTGGTTTGCTGCACCCATCAGCCCGTCATCTACATTAGGTATTTCTCCTAATGCTATCCCTCTACTTGTCCCCCAACCCCCGACAGGCCCTGGTGTGTGATGTCCCCCTCCCTAAGTCCATGTGTTCTCATTGTTCAACTCTCACTTATGAGTGAGAACATGCAATGTTTGGTTTTCTGTTCTTGTGTTAGTTTGCTGAGAATGATGGTTTCTAGTTTCATCCGTCTCCCTGCAGAGGAAATGAACTCATCCGTTTTTATGGCTCCATAGTATTCCATGGCATATATGTGCCACATTTTTTTAAATTATACTTTAAGTTCTAGGGTATATGTACACAATGTGCAGGTTTGTTACGTATGTATACATGTGCCATGTTGGTGTGTGCACCCATTAACTCGTCATTTACATTAGGTGTATCTCCTAATGCTATCCCTCCCTCCTCCACCCACCCCACGACAGGCCCTGGTGTGTGATGTTCTCCACCCTGTGTCCAAGTGTTCTCATTGTTCAATTCTTACCAATGAGTGAGAACATGCAGTTCTCACTGGTTTTCCCAGCACCATTTATTAAATAGGAAATCCTTTCCCCATTTCTTGTTTTTGTCAGGTTTGTCAAAGATCAGATGGTTGTAGATGTGTGGTATTATTTCTGAGGGCTCTGTTCTGTTCCATTGGTCTATATATCTGTTTTGGTACAAGTACCATGCTGTTTTGGTTACCGTAGCCTTGTAGTATAGTTTGAAGTCAGGTAGTGTGATGCCTCCAGCTTTGTTCTTTTGGCTTAGGATTGTCTTGGCAATGTGGGCTCTTTTTGTTTGATTTTCTGTCCTTGCAATAGTTGGCCACATTTTCTTAATCCAGCCTAACATTGATGGACATTTGGGTTGGTTCCAAGTCTTTGTTATTGTGAATAGTGCCACAATAAACATACATGTGCATGTGTCTTTATAACAGCATGATTTATAATCCTTTGGGTGTATACCTAGTAATGGGGTCACTGGGTCAAATGGTATTTCTAGTTCTAGATCCTTGAGGAATCACCACACTGTCATCCACAATGGTTGAACTAGTTTACAGTCCCACCAACAGTGTAAAAGTCCCTATTTCTCCACATCCTCTCCAGCACCTGTTGTTTCCTGACTTTTTAATGATCGCCATTCTAACTGCTGTGAGATGGTATCTCATTGTGGTTTTGATTTGCATTTCTCTGATGGCCAGTGTTGATGAGCATTTTTTCATGTGTCTGTTGGCTGCATAAATGTCTTCTTTTGAGAAGTGTCTGTTCATATACTTTGCCCACTTTTTGATGGGGTTGTTTGATTTTTTCTTGTAAATTTGTTTAAGTTCTTTGTAGATTCTAGATATTAGCCCTTTGTCAGATGAGTAGATTGTAAAAATTTTCTCCCATTCTGTAGGTTGCCTGTTCACTCTGATGGTAGTTTCTTTTGCTGTGCAGAAGCTCTTTAGTTTAATTAGATCCCATTTGTCAATTTTGGCTTTGTTGCCATTGCTTTTGGTGTTTTAGTCATGAAGTCCTTGCCCATGCCCATGTCCTGAATGGTATTGCCTAGGTTTTCTTCTAGGATTTTTATGGTTTTAGGTCTAACATTTAAGTCTTTAACCCATCTTGAATTAATTTTTGTATAAGGTGTAAGGAAGGGATCCAGTTTCATCTTTCTGCATATGGCTAGCCAGTTTTCCCAGCACCATTTATTAAATAGGGAATCCTTTCCCCATTTCTTGTTTTTGTCAGGTTTGTCAAAGATCAGATGGTTGTAGATGTGTGGTATTATTTCTGAGGGCTCTGTTCTGTTCCATTGATCTATACCTCTGTTTTGGGACCAGTACCATGCTGTTTTGGTTACTGTAGCCTTGTAGTATAGTTTGAAGTCAGGTAGCGTGATACCTCCAGCTTTGTTCTTTTGGCTTAGGATTGTCTTGGCAATGTGGGCTCTTTTTTGGTTCCATATGAACTTTAAAGTAGTTTTTTTCCAATTCTGTGAAGAAAGTCATTGGTAGCTTGATGGGGATGGCATTGAATCTATAAATTACCTTGGGCAGTATGGCCATTTTCACAATATTGATTCTTCCTATCCATGAGCATGGAATGATTTTCCATTTGTTTGTGTCCTCTTTTATTTCATTGAACAGTGGTTTGTAGTTCTCCTTGAAGAGGTCCTTCACATCCCTTGAAAGTTGGATTCCTAGGTATTTTATTCTCTTTGAAGCCATTGTGAATGGGAGTTCACTCATGATTTGGTTCTCTGTTTGTCTGTTATTGGTATATAGGAATGCTTGTGATTTTTGCACATTGATTTTGTATCCTGAGACTTTGCTGAAGTTGCTTATCAGCTGAAGTAGTTTTTGGGCTGAGACGAGGGGGTTTTCTAAATATAGACTCATGTGATCTGCAAACAGAGACAATTTGACTTCCTCTTTTCCTATTTGAATACCCTGTATTTCTTTCTCTTGCCTGATTGCCCTGGCCAGTACTTCCAATACTATGTTGAATAGGAGTGATGAGAGAGGTCATTCTTGTCTTGTGCCAGTTTTCAAAGGGAATGCTTCCAGCTTTTGCCCATTCAGTATGATACTGGCTGTGGGTTTGTCATAAATAGCTTTTATTATTTTGAGATATGTTCCATCAAAACTTAGTTTATCGAGAGTTTTTAGCATGAAGGGGTGTTGAATTTTGTCGAAGGCCTTTTCTGTGTCTATTGAGATAATCATGTGGTTTTTGTCATTTGTTCTGTTTAAGTAATGGATTACTTTTATTGATTTGCCTAAGTTTAACCAGCCTTGCATCACAGGAATGAAGCTGACTTGATTGTAGTGGATAAGCTTTTTGATGTGCTGCTGGATTCAGTTTGCCAGTATTTTATTGAGGATTTTCGCATCGATGTTTATCAGGGATATTGGCCTGAAATTTTCTTTTTTTTGTTGTGTCTCTACCAGGTTTTGGTATCAGGATGATGCTGGCCTCATAAAAAGTC
This sequence comes from Homo sapiens, assembly GCF_000001405.40. NCBI lineage: Eukaryota > Metazoa > Chordata > Mammalia > Primates > Hominidae > Homo > Homo sapiens. Next base: position 131,265,739 of record NC_000003.12, read on the forward strand.
AGGGAGGAATCCCTCTTTTTCTATCGTTTGGAATACTTTCAGAAGGAATGGTACCAGCTCTTCTTTGTACCTCTGGTAGAATTCGGCTGTGAATCCATCTGGTCCTGGACTTTTTTTGGTTGGTAGGCTGTTAATTACTGCCCCAATTTCAGAATGTGTTCTTGGTCTATTCAGGGATTTAACTTCTTCCTGATTTAGACTTGGGAGGGTGTATGTGTCCAGGAATTTATCCATTTCTTCTAGATTTTCTAGTTTATTTGCATAGAGGTGTTTATAATATTCTCTGATGGTAGTTTGTATTTCTGTGGAATCAGTGGTGATATCCCCTTTATCATTTTTTATTGTGTCTATTTGATTCTTCTCTCTTTTCTTCTTTATTAGTCTGGCTAGCAGTATATCTATTTTGTTGTCAGTAAACCAACTCCTGGATTCATTGATTTTTTGAAGGGTTTTTCCTGTCTCTAACTCCTTCAGTTTTGCTCTGATCTTAGTTATTTCTTGCCTTCTGCTAGCTTTTGAATTTGTTTGCTCTTTCTTCTCTAGTTCTTTAATTGTGATGTTAGGGTGTCAATTTGAGATTTTTCCTGCTTTTGCTTGTGGGCATTTCATGCTATAAATTTCCCTCTAAACACTGCTTTAGCTGTGTCCCAGGGATTCTGGTACGTTGTGTCTTTGTTCTCATCAGTTTCAAAGAACTTATTTATTTCCGCCTATTTCGTTATTTACCCAGTAGTCATTCAGGAGCAGCTTGTTCAGTTTCCATGTAGTTGTGTGGTTTGAGTGAGTTTCTTAATCCTCAGTTCTAATTGATTGCACTGTGGTCTGAGAAACTGTTTGTTATGATTTCCATTCTTTTGCATTTGCTAAAGGAGTGTTTTTACTTCCAATTATGTGGTCAATTTTAGAATAAGTGCGATGTGGTGCTGAGAAGAATGTATATTCTGTTGATTTCGGGTGGAGAGTTCTGTAGATGTCTATTAGGTCTGCCTGGTCCAGATCTGAGTTCAAGTCCTGAATATCCTTGTTAATTTTCTGTCTCATTGATCTGTCTAATAAAGTCTCTCACTATTATTGTGTGTGAGTCTAAGTCTCTTTGTAGGTCTCTGAGGGCTTGCTTTATGAATCTAGGTGCTCCTGTATTGGGTGCTTATACATTTAGGATAGTTAGCTGTTCTTGTTGCATTGATCCCTTTACCATTATGCCATGTCCTTCTTTGTCTCTTTTAATCTTTGTTGGTTTAAAGTCTGTTTTATCAGAGACTAAATTGCAACACCTGCTTTTTTTTGCTTTCCATTTGCTTGGTAAATATTATTCCATCCCTTTATTTTGAGCCTATGTGTGTCTCTGCATGTGAGATGGGTCTCCTGAATACAGCATACTGATGAGTCTTGACTCTCTATCCAATTTGCTAGTCCATGTCTTTTAATTGGGGCATTTAGCCCATTGACATTTAAGATTAATATTGTTATGTGTGAATTTGATCCTGTCATTATGATGCTAGCTCTTTATTTTGCTCATTAGTTGATGCAGTTTCTTCATAGTTTAAATGGTCTTTACAATTTAGCATGTTTTTGCAGTGGCTGGTACTGGTCGTTCCTTTCCATGTTTAGTGCTTCCTTCAGGAGCTCTTGTAAGGCAGGCCAGGTGGCGATAAAATCGCTCAACATTTGTTTGTCTGTAAAGGATTTTATTTCTCCCTCGCTTATGAAGCTTAGTTTAGCTGGATATGACATTCTGGGTTGAAAATTCTTTTATTTAAGAATGTTGAATATTGGCCCCCACTCTCTTCTGGCTTGTAGGGTTTCTGCTGAGAGAGCCACTGTTAGTCTGATGGGCTTCCCTTTGTGGGTAACCTGACCTTTCTCTCTCTTCTGGCTTGTAGGGTTTCTGCTGAGAGATCCACTGTTAGTCTGATGGGCTTCCCTTTGTGGGTAACCTGACCTTTCTCTCTGGCTGCCCTTAACCTTTTTTCCTTCATTTCAACCTTGGTGAATCTGACGATTGCGTGTCTCGGGGTTGCTCTTCTCGAGGAGTATCTTTGTGGTGTTCTCTGTATTTCCTGAATTTGAAAGTTGGCCTCTCTTGCTAGGTTGGGGAAGTTCTCCTGGATAATATCCTGAAATGTGTTTTCCAACTTGGTTCCATACTCCTCATCACTTTCAGGTACACCAATCAAACATAGGTTTGGTTTCTTCACATAGTCCCATATTTCTTGGAGGCTTTATTCATTCCTTTTCATTCTTTTTTCTCTAATCTTGTCTTCATGCTTTATTTCATTAAGTTCATAGTCTCTGATATCCTTTCTTCCACTTGATCAGTTCAGCTATTGATACTTGTGTATGTTTCACAAAGTTCTCGTGCTGTGTTTTTCAACTCCATCAGGTCATTTATGTTCTTCTCTAAACTGGTTATTCTAGTTAGCAATTCGTCTAACCTTTTATCAACATTCTTAGCTTCCTTGCATTGGGTTAGAACATGCTTTTTTAGCTCAGAGGAGTTTGTTATTACCCACCTTCTGAAGCCTACTTCTGTCAATTTGTCAAGCTCATTCTCCCTCCAATTTTGTTCCCTTGCTGGTGAGGAGTTGTGATCCTTTGGAGGGGAAGAGGCATTCTGATTTTTGAAATTTTCAGTCTTTTTGTGCTGGTTTTTCCTCATCTTCATGGATTTATCTACCTTTGGTCTTTGATGGTGACCTTCAGATGGGGTTTCTGAGTGGATGTCCTTTTTGTTGATGTTGATGCTATTCCTTTCTGTTTGTTAGTTTTCCTTCTAACAGCCAGACCCCTCTGCTGCAGGTCTGCTGGAGTTTGCTGGAGGTCCACTCCAGACCCTGTTTGCCTGAGTACCACCAGTGGAGGCTGCAGAACAGCAGCAATTGCTGCCTGTTCCTTCCTCTGGAAGCTTCATCCCAGAAGGGCACCCACCAGATGCCAGCCCAAACTCTCCTGTATTTGTCTGTCAACCCCTGCTGGGAGGTGTCTCCCAGTCAGGAGGCATGGGGGTCAGGGACCCACTTAAGGAGGCAGTCTGTCCCTTAGCAGAGCTCGAACACTGTGTTAGGAGATCCACTGCTCTCTTCAGAGCCAGCAGGCAGGGACGTTTAAGTCTGCTGAAGCTGTGCCACAGCCTCCCCTTCCCCCATTGGCTCTGTCCCAGGGAGATTGGGGTTTTATCTTTAATCCCCTGACTGGGGCTGCTGCCTTTTTTTCGGTGATGCCCTGCCCAGAGAGGAGGAATCTAGAGAGACAGTCTGACTACAGAGGCTTTGCCAAGCTGCGGTGGGCTCTGCCCAGTTCAAACTTCCCAGCAGCTTTGTTTACACTATGAGGGGAAAACCACCTACTCAAGCCTCAGTAATGGCAGATGCCCCTCCCCCCACCAAGCTTGAGCATCCCAGGTTGACTTCAGACTGCTGTGCTGGCAGTGCAAATTTCAAGCTGGTGGATCTTAGCTTTCTGGGCTCTGTGGGGGTGGGATCCGCTGAGCTAGACCACTTGGCTCCCTGGCTTCAGCCCCCTTTCCAGGGAAGTGAACGATTTTGTCTCGCTGGCATTCCAGGTGCCACTGGAGTATGAAAAACAACTCCTGCAGCTAGCTCAGTGTCTGCTCAAATGGCCACCCAGTTTTGTGCTTGAAACCCAGGGCCCTGGTGGCATAGGCACCCGAGGGAATCTCCTGGTCTGTGGGTTGCAAAGACCATGGGAAAAGCATAGTATCTGGGCCAGAGTGCACCATTCCTCATGGCACAGTCCCTCATGGCTTCCCTTGGCTAGGCGACGCCCCACCCTGCTTCAGCTCACCCTCTGTGGGCTGCACCCATTGTCTAACCAGTCCCAATGAGATGAGCTTGGTACCTCAGTTGGAAATGGAGAAATCACCCGCCTTCTGTGTTGATCTCACTGGCAGCTGCTGACTGGAGCTGTTCCTATTCGGCCATCTTGCCCATTCCATCCAAAAGTAGTTTTTGAAAATTAACATGGGGATTAAGGATTCAGCTATTTTTCAGAAAGCAGAGCTTTAAGAAAGCAGAGCTCTAGAACCAGGGCTTCATGGACGTGAGACCAGTGCAGTTACACAGAGCCCTAGGTTCAGGAAGGAGCCCACACATGGGGTTTCATAAAATTTTATCTTTGAATTTGTGTTTTATGAGTGAAAGCTGATAACACAGTGGAACACAGGCTCAAGGCTTAAAGCCTTGCTCATGTGCTGTCTTGCCTTTAAGACATCTACCTGGGAAGGTTCCTCTGCCACCTAGCCCTTAATCCCCATCCCATAACTACTGCAATCTTCCATTCCCAATGGGATCCTAGGTAATAGTGAGGAAGGGTTGCCGTGAGGTAAGACTGCCAGGTCCCTATAAGTGTCTACACTCCCCTGCAGAGTATCTGCCCTAGTTCCTGAGGGAGAATGACATTAAATACCCAACAAAAAGCACAATGACAGGTCCACAGACAAATACAGACCCCCCAAAAAACAGCTTTTCTCTTGTTTCTTGAACAAGGATTTCTGCGTTGTCATTTAGCACTGGGCCCCACAAATTATGTAGCTGGCCTGTCTAGAGCCTTACTACTCAAAGTGTGGTTGCAGGACCAGCAGCATTGGTATCACCTGGGAACATATGGAAACGTAGAATCCCAAGCCCTACCCAAACCTACTAAAGAAGAATCTGCATTTTAACAAGATCCCTGGATGATTTGTATGACATTAAAGTTTGAGAAGCAGTGGTCTAAAACACACTCTGGGATTCAGTCACCTATTGGATGACATCTATGTTCTTGCCCCAATTATTTTTATTATGATTGTTAAATGAATTGTCCTTTTCTTTGACATAAAGCAACTACTATTCATGTTGGAAGATGGGAGGCAGAGGGAAAGAAAGTTGGCCAATAAGAAACACTGAAAAAGGAATTGCTCTGAGCACCAAGCTTTGCCAACCCTGTTACTCGAAATTATACTTGCCCTGTTTTCTACCCTTGGGCTTAAGGCTTAGCATCTTTCCTAGCAGACTGAGTGCCTTATTGAGGGAAACTGTAGCCAGCTTAAAATAAACTGCAGCTCTCCTGGAAATTGCTTTGACCTTTATTTGCATAAGTCTTCAAAACTTGCCAGCTCTGGAAAAGATGGGAAAGGAGCACCTTATTTTTATTCTTGGCGGAACTGATTTTTGAGCTTGCATGTGAGTTACTTAGCATGGTATGGTTGGTGTTGTTTTAGTAACTTTTTAGGTTCTAGGAAAGATTATTGTAAAAAGCAACCAACAGGAATATGAAATAAACCCCTATGCCTTCCTCTTGCCCACTCCCCAAGCTTCCTGGGGAAAAGTATCTGTCCTGGCCAGAGTTAGTGGGAAGGTTGGAGCTGACAGAAAGCTGCTGTCCAGTTGCAGTGAGGGCCGAGGCAAATTTTCTCTCCAGGTGTGGAAGGGGCAATCTCCAGGAGTGAGAGAAATGGGAGCAATCAGTTGCTGGTACTTGTGTCTTTATCATGAAGGCATAACTGGTGAATGTACTATGAGCAACACATTGTTAATTTGTATTATGCCCTTTACAAGGTTTGTCCCTGTTAATCCAGTATTTCCATAACTAGGGATCTAGTCCAAGGAAAGATCAGAGACTTTGGCACAGAATTAAGCTGGAGAATATTCATCTCAATTATATCTATAGGAGCAAGAAGTTCAAAGTGGGATACATGCCCCAACAGGTAGTGCAAAAGGAGGATGTATGTGAGACATATTAGAATTTGCATTTAACTTTTAAAATTTAAAAAATAGAGCCAGTCGGGGTGGCTCACGCCTGTAATCCCAGCACTTTGGCAGGCCGAGGCAGGCGGATCACCTCAGGTCAGGAGTTCGAGACTAGCCTGACCAACATGGCAAAACCCTGTATCTACTAAAAAGAAAAAAATTAGCTGGGCTTGGTGGCGGGAGCCTGTAATCCCAGCTACTTGGGAGGCTGAGGCAGGAGAATTGCTTGAACCCAGGAGGTGGAGGATGCAGTGAGCCGAGATCTCACTATTGCACTCCAGCCTGGGCAACAAGAGCAAAACTCCATCTCAAAAAAATAAAAAGGTCGGGTGTGGTGGCTCACGCCTGTAATTCCAGCAGTTTGGGAGGCCGAGGTGGGCGGATCACCTGAGCTCGGGAGTTTAAGACCAGCCTGACCAACAGGAGACCAACAGGAGATAACCTGTCTCTACTAAAAATACAAAATTAGCCAGGCATGGTGGCGCACGCCTGTAATCCCAGCTACTCAGGAGACTGAGGCAGAAGAATCACTTGAACCCGGGAGGCAGAGGTTGCGGTGAGCCGAGATCACGCCATTGCATTCCAGCCTGGGCAACAAGAGCGAAACTCCGTCTCAAAAAAAAGAAGAAGAAAAAGTTTTACTAATATGTAAAATGGGGACTCCACCTTGCTTCTTTACTTGGTCCCTAAGTCAAGCAGGCACATGTTATATGAGATATGTTGAGAAAAGAATGGGAATTTCATAACATGAGTCTCTTCTCTCTGACATAGCAACTACATGGATATAATTTATAAATGATCATTGGAGTGGACAGTTTTTTACTGATGGGATGTGAAGCACCTTATAAGAGATCTAAGGACGTGCACAGGGAGTACTCTGCTCCCAGTTCCAGGGAGGAAAGAGCAGCATAGGGCCAAATTGTAAATTCAGCTCTATGGATTGCCCTGAGCTCTTGCTAATGGGCCAGTTTTAGCTTCTTTTTTTTTTTTTTTTTTTTTTTTTTTTTTGAGACAGAGCCTTGTTCTTTCACCCAGGCTGGAGTGCCGTGGTGCGATCTGAGCTCATTGCAACCTCCGCCTCCCAAGTTCAAGTGATTCTCCTGTCTCAGCCTCCAGAGTAGCTGGGATTACAGGCAAGTGCCACCACACCCAGCTAATTTTTATATTTTTAGTAGAGACGAGGTTTCACCATGTTGGCCAGGCTGGTCCCAAACTCGTGACCTCAGGTGATCCGCCCACCTCAGCCTTCCAAAATGCCGGGATTACAGGCATGAGCCACTGCACCCAACCCAGTTTTAGCTTTTTAATGGAAAGTAGTGTTGTTTCAGTTGATGGAATATTTCTTTCCCTCAGTTTCAACATGTTTTATAAGAGCCTTCAGGATGTTTCATTAAAAACTGTAGCTCTCTCAGCAGATTTCATTACACCTCAACTTTCATTACCAACTCTTACCCTCTGAACACAACTTTGGCCTTCTGCTCCATTCTGCTGAAGTTTAAAGCTGCAGATAGGACCTCTGGTCAGCATTTTGCTTTCCATTGCAAAAAAAGCTAATGCTCAGGTATAAGATTAAGATAAAAGGAAAACTAAGCTTATTAGAAAAATTCCTAGTCACTTAGTCAAACATCCACACCTGCTGAAAGAGAATGGCCAAAGGGTCCTCAGGAACACTTGCTTTTCTATAGATACATTTCCCCCTGAGTTTTCTAGGATAAAAAGCTCATCTTTTAAATAATGGTGTTTTGTTTAAACAATCCTTTGTGAGAGAGGCTTTCTCCTGGAATACCTTGTGCATATTAAAACTGTAAATAATCTTGTCATTTGGAATAAATCTTCTTAATGTGCGTGTTATAATTGAATTCATCTCTAATTAATGTAGCATTACCATGTGGCAAAGGTGGATTAGCTTCTGTTTTCTGATTGCCCTTGAACATCGCCTTGAAGTTGCAGGATTGCTGATGAAGTCAATAAGGGCTGTGCATTGATTTTCAGACACAAAGACCATCACCACCATGGCTGAAGACATGTCCCCAGGACCACCAATTTTCAACAGTGTGATGGCCAGGACCAAGATGAAACGCATGAGGGAGTAAGTAGCATGTTGCCTGCCCCCTAGGAAGGTGCAGTGTTAAAGCATATTGACCAAGTGTGTGACCCAGTCATGTGATACTGTCTTAGTCCATTTGTGCTGCCGTGACAAAATACCTGGGACTAAGCTGTTCCAACTTAGAAACTTCTCTCTAAAATTCACTTTCTGTATTGGTGCTGGTCGAATAATTAGGGAAGTTTGGCAAGAATTATTTTTCAGTTGATTTGCACTTATAGTATTCTTGCAGCACAGCACATTCTCATCCATGCTAATGTTTGAAAGCAAAGGAGAAAAAAATGCTGAAAATTATTTCCAAGCCTAAAGCTGTTACTATGTTTATATACTTATTGTTTTCTAGCCCTACCTGTACCAGAGTGGTCTTTTTTTTTTATTATTATTATACTTTAAGTTTTAGGGTACATGTGCACATTGTGCAGGTTAGTTACATATGTATACATGTGCCATGCTGGTGCGCTGCACCCACTAACTCATCGTCTAGCATTAGGTATATCTCCCAATGCTATCCCTCCCCCCTCCCCCCACCCCACAACAGTCCCCAGAGTGTGATATTCCCCTTCCTGTGTCCATGTGATCTCATTGTTCAATTCCCACCTATGAGTGAGAATATGCGGTGTTTGGTTTTTTGTTCTTGCGATAGTTTACTGAGAATGATGATTTCCAGTTTCATCCATGTCCCTACAAAGGACATGAACTCATCATTTTTTATGGCTGCATAGTATTCCATGGTGTATATGTGCCACATTTTCTTAATCCAGTCTATCATTGTTGGACATTTGGGTTGGTTCCAAGTCTTTGCTATTGTGAGTAGTGCCACAATAAACATACGTGTGCATGTGTCTTTATAGCAGCATGATTTATAGTCCTTTGGGTATATACCCAGTAGTGGGATGGCTGGGTCAAATGGTATTCCTAGTTCTAGATCCCTGAGGAATCGCTACACTGACTTCCACAATGGTTGAACTAGTTTACAGTCCCACCAACAGTGTAAAAGTGTTCCTATTTCTCCACATCCTCTCCAGCACCTGTTGTTTCCTGACTTTTTTTTTTTTTTTTTTTTTTTTTTTTTTTTGAGACGGAGTCTCGCTCTGTCGCCCAGGCCGGACTGCGGACTGCAGTGGCGCAATCTCGGCTCACTGCAAGCTCTGCTTCCCGGGTTCACGCCATTCTCCTGCCTCAGCCTCCCGAGTAGCTGGGACTACAGGCGCCTGCCACCGCGCCTGGCTAATTTTTTGTATTTTTAGTAGAGACGGGGTTTCACCTTGTTAGCCAGGATGGTCTCGATCTCCTGACCTCGTGATCCACCCGCCTCGGCCTCCCAAAGTGCTGGGATTACAGGCGTGAGCCACCGCGCCCGGCCGTTTCCTGACTTTTTAATGATTGCCATTCTAACTGGTGTGAGATGGTATCTCATTGTGGTTTTGATTTGCATTTCTCTGATGGCCAGTGATGATGAGCATTTTTTCATGTGTTTTTTTGGCTGCATAAATGTCTTCTTTTGAGAGTGGTCTTATAATAACATAATTACCATGGCAAGAACTGATTCCCAGAAATTGAAAGTGAGGGAGTATGGATTAATTTTTCCCTCTGTAGAGGGAAACTACCTCCACCTCTCCTTGCTTGGAGGAGATAATATAGAAGGTGTTGCTAATTTCCCAGTTGATAGTCTTTAAAGAGAAGAAAAGTGGTTTGCTTATTTTACCCGTAAAAGTTAACAATGTGGTGTCAGATTTTTGATCTAAGACTTCATTACTTTTGCAAAGTACACAATACCCCATTTCCTAGCATATTATGAAATGTTTTAAATAATTAAAATGAAAATATTTTGCTAAATTAATTGGCCAAGATGCATTCTAATGATTTTATTCCTAGTGTGTTGTTTTTTTTCTCCTTATTGCTTGGCTGTAATTGACCAAGTACTTTCTGGCTCACCTTTTTCATGTGGGCTACTGCAGTTTGGGTTACTCCCCCATGGATGGTATTGCTCCTCTAGTGGAATAACCTGCCATCCTTTTATATTTTATATTGTGAATCCTTATGCCATTCCAGAAAAGGCAAAAGGAAATCAAGGCTGCAAATCTGCATGTCTTTTGAGCATGTTGTGTTTTCTCAGTTTCAAAGACTTAGAAGCCAGCCAGAGAGAGGAAATCTTGCTGTTCTTTCTCTGCACTGTGATATACTGCATGCTCAGCATATGGATGGCAACTATTGGGATGCCAAGAAGAATAGTTAATGACATTTGTCTCCATAGAGATTATAATGTAGAGAAAACACAAAACTTCAAATGCAAAACGTTAAATGACAACATAGTGGTTATGTAATATGAGGTGATAATTAAGAAAAGTCCCCAAATAGGAGCATGGCCATGAGCCAAATAGATGATGAGAGCTCTAAGATCAGAAAGGGGAAGTTGGGAGACCTCTGGGAGAAGCAGGGACTTAGCCTTCACCTTGGCCTTCACAGAGGGATGTAATTTGGAGAGGTAAAGAAAAAGGAGGAGAAGCTGGAGGTCAGCAGATTTGGTGTCTGAGTCTTGGCTTCACTAATAAATGGCTGTCTAACCTTTGACAAGTGATTTTCTAAGATTCAGTTTCTTTATCTATAAAATGGTCATATTAATTGCCACAGCTGGATTCCCAGGAAGCATACTCAGAGATGGAGATTAATGTGTAGGAGGAGGTTTGTGAGGGAATCTTCTGGAGACCAACACCTGTAGAAAGGAGGAGGAAGGAAGCAGACTGGTCAGGGAGAAGTCAAGCTGTGACATGGGTCATTAGAGGCCTCTGCCAACCCCATTGGGAGTTCTGGGGCTAGATGGCCCTGCAGAACTGTGCTGAGTTGGGACAAGAGGGCCTTTGTAACCCCAAGTCAATCAGACATTGCATGTGGGCCACTCTGGGAAGGGGCCGTGACTGAACAAGATGTTCACTTCTGTATTTACCAGTATAGACTTCATCTGGATTTGCCAGTTGTTAACACTTTGTCACATTTTTGTAATTTTTCTTTATATCTATCTATATAATATATATACATATACACTTATAAATTATTATTATTACTGATCCGTTTGAGAATAGATTCCATGCTTCATGATTCTTCAACCCTAAATATTTAAATGAGTAGCTTCTAAAAACAAGAACATTCTCTTAATATAACCATAGTATGATGATTGAATTCAGGAAATTTCACATCAGTACATACTATTATTTAACATACAAATCCATATTCAGATTTCATTGATTATCCCAATAATACCCATTATAGCAATTGTTTTTCTGATTCAGGATACAAGCCAGGATCACACATTACACTCAGTTGCTATGTCTCTTTGGTGTATTTACTCTAGAATGGTTCCTTAGTCATTCTTCATCTTTCATGACACTGACATTTTTGAAGAGTGCAGGCCAGTTGTTTTGTAAGATATCTCTTACTGTGGGTTTGTCTGTTGTTTCCTCATTATGAGCTTCAGGTTATACACTTTTGGTGGTAGCCTACATAAGAAATATTGTTTGTCCTGAACTTTTAAACATTTAATTATAGGAAGTTTCAGCCACATATAAAAGTAGTCAGAGTAGTATAATTTTTCTGTAGACTAATCAACCCAACCAGTTTAACAGTTATCACCCATGACCAATCTTGTTTTTCTATACTTCCACCTGTTCTCACATGTTACTTTTAAGGAAGTCCTATTCATCATATGTTATATCCATAAGTATTTAAATAAATATGTGAATTTTGATCTGCTCTTTGACACTTTCCCTTGGATGTCCATTAGGCATCTCAAGCTCAGGATTTCCAAAACTGAACTCCTAAATTTCCCTACCACATCTGCCCCCTCCACAGCCTTCCCCATTGTTACATAAGCAAAGGCAAGATCTAGTTAAGAAAGAACCTTCCAGCTCAGTAAGTAGTGCCTGAAGGCTTACTTAGTGTGTGACAGTTTAAGGATATCAGGCAAATGACTTTGTCGTCTCCTCTATGAAGAAGTTGGGTGGCAACACACCTGGTGATCATGCTGCCATCCTTCTCCAAGTTCTCTAAACTGGGGGCCCTGGGGCTTTGTAAGTATTAATATATGCGATGTCAGGCATAGAGTAGACCCTAGCACAGTGGTCAGAAGGGAAGATGCAGGGGGCAAGCTGCTGGGATTTATATCCCTCCTTGCCACTGACTAATATGTGTCCTTGGACAAGTTAACCAAACTCTTTGGGCCTCAGATTTCTCATCTGTGAAGTGGGACTAATAATGATTTTTGCCTCATAGAGTTGTTGTTAGGGTGAGTTGAGATAATGTATGAAATGCACTAAGAATAGTTTATGGCACATAGTAAGTGCTCAGTAAATGTTAACAACTTAGACTCTCAATATATGTGTGGTTGCTTCACTTTGAAAATCCCCAAGCCAAGTGTCTGAAGGTGTTGACATGTGTTTGTGATGTTTTATACCTGAGGGCATTGGTAAGTGAAGCAGCTGTTTGTTAAGACATGCATGTAGTATCTTTTTAGCATGCGAAAAGTGCTAGTGCCAATTCTCTGAGAAAATGCCATGAAGTTGTTTAATATAAATTCCAGACATTTGCCATTCTCCAACTGACTTCTGGCCACAGCCACTTCTCACTCTTGCAGGGAGACTACTCCATAAATGAAACTCCCCTACTGGTGCACAAACAACATCAGCTCTCAGAAGTTATTAGGTGGTACTGCTCAAAGTCATTGGAATGTTGGCAAAATGACAAGAAGTCAGTGTTGACTTCTTTTCTGACTGAGGAATTTCCATGTACATTTGAAGAGTGGTTGCTATTCATGTATGGATAGATAAATGATGAATGGATAGATGAATTGATGGATAGGTAGGTGGATGGATGGGTGAACGGGTGGATAAGTGGGCCTTTGTGGCTCCATGGTCCTCCTGAAACTTCTGCTCTCAGGAAAGGGTTTCTGTTCAAAAAAGTTTTTTGTTTTGTTTTGTTTTTTTTTGTTTTTTTACACCTCAAGCCAGATTAAATTCCAGGCCTGGCTCCATGCTCCCACTAGAAGCCAAAAAGGAGACCCTGTGGAATGACGGCTCGTCAGCTTTCAGCTCTGAGGAGGGCAAGGGGCCACTGTGACTAAGACTGGTCCTTTAACTCACAGAGGCCAAGGCAATGTACATGAAGGGCCTGCTCTATCTAAATGAATTATCCTCTTGGCCTCAGCTTTATACATCAAGTAAGACCACTGGTGTCCTGTGCCTTACTACTTAGAGTGTGGTCCCTGACCTGCACCAGGGACATCATCTGGAAACCCGTGAGAAATGCAAACTCTCTGGCCCCCTCCCTCCTGAATCAGAATCTGAATTTTAAACTATTTAGAAATTCATATACACATTAAAGTTTGAGACATTTGTTACCAGAATGTGAGTTGGAATCAGTCTTAATAAAAATCAAATATTATATAAAATATATTAATATATTTATGTTTTAAGGCCCTAATATTTTTGACTTTTAAAAATTTACTTATGCTGGGAGTGGCAGCTCACACCTGTAATCCCAGCACTTTGAGAGACCAAGGAAGATTGATCACCTGAGGTCAGGAGTTTGAGACCAGCCTAAATTACTAAAAATACAAAAATTAGCCGGGCATGGTGGCACACGTCTGTAATCCCAGCTACTAGGGAAGGTGAGACAGGAGAATCGCTTGAACCCAGGAGACAGGTTGCAGTGAGCTGAGATCACGCCATTGCACTCCAGACTTGGCAACAAGAGCGAAACTCGGTCTCAAAAAATAAAATAAATTCACTTATTTTCCATTTATTTTAATAAGGAGTATATAATTTACATGCAGCAAAACTCACCTCTTTTTATATATAGTTCTATAAATTTTGATTTGTATACAATAAGATTCACTCTTTTTAGTAAACAGTTCTATCAGTGTTGACAAGTGCAAATAGTCGTATAATTATCAGCACAATCAAGATTATTATAGAACGGTTCTCTGTCCCCGAAAATTCCCTGTGCTCCCCCTTTGTAGTCAGCTCCTCCCACCATACCCTGTACCTCACAACCATGGTCTACTTTCTGTCCCTATAGTTTTTCCTTTTTATAATGTCATATTAGTGAAATCATCACTTAGCATCATAGACCCCCATTGTAACTGGATAGTTAGTTATGAATATGGATCTAGATCTATGCATAGTCATATGCTAGAGCCTTGCAATTTTGAATAACTTCATTCTCCACAGAACTGTCACAAGGAGACTCAGGTCTGGCATTAAAGTCACAGGCACCTCACTAGCAGCGGTCCCGAAGGTTTCTGTCCCCAGTAAGAGTCTGCTGTTAGAGAAACTTGCTACCCAGAAAATTTTGAGGCTGAACTGCTGGTTTCCCTGTCAGACTTGTCAGCTTTTTGCAATGGCTGGGAGGCCTTAGTTCCTGGAAACAGTGTGAGTAGAGGGAGTCTCCTTCATCTTGCTCTATTGAGATTTCTAGGGATCAGATCCACCTCACTAAAAAGCTCAATAATGGAAAAGGCCTGAGAATCTGGGGGAGCTTCTGAGCCCACTTTTCCAATTGGAAGTCAGGGACCTGAAAAACATCTGGGCCCTAAGAAACAGTTTAATGACAGGGATGGCATCATTTTCTGGTGACATTCTCTGAATCACCTTTGCATTGCCAATTCATGCAGTGAGCACAGGAAAAAAATAATCTTTGTAGGGATACGTGTTCTCCACTTTAGGAACTGCAATTACACATATAGTAGGCTATTTGAAGTTGTCCCACAGCTTACTGGTGCTATGCTCTTTTTTTTTAAGGCTTTTTTTTCCCTCTCTGTCTGTCATTTTGGATAGTTTCTTTTGCTATGTCTTAAAATTTATTAATCTTTTCTTCTGCAATGTCTAATCTACTGTTAATCTCATTCAGTGTATGTTTATAAATAGACATTATAAGCAGTTTGAGATTCATAGCAAAATTGACTGGAACATTCAGTGTATTCTTCATCTTAGACATTAAGTTTTCATCTCTAGAAGTTTGGTTTGAGTCTTTTTGTTACATCTTTCTTGTCTCTGTTTAACATGTTCAATATTTCCTCTATTTAACAAGTAGAGTACAGTTATACTAATTATTTTGATGTCTTTGACATTGTGAGTTAAAACTCACCCTGTGTGGGTGTTGGATAATTCTGTATTCCAATAAATAGCCGGGATCTTTGTTTTAGTTGCTTGGAAGCAGTTTGATACTTTTGGTTTTTACTTTTGAGCTTTGTTATGTGGGACCAGGGCAGCATTTAGGCTACAGCTGGTTATTTCCCATTACTGCAGCAAGACCCTTCTGGGTTCTCTATGCAATGGCTGATGAATGACCAGGTTTACCAGTTTGGCAAGTATGAAGGTCTGAAGAGGCACTATTCATGGCCCAATGTGAGCCCCAAGTACTATTCTCTCTCATCCTCTCGTGTCCTTCCCTCTCTCAGCTCAGTAATCTCCTCACATGCACGTGCTGGTCTACACTCAGCTGAATCACACTGTATGTGTGGGTATACACAGGTTTATTGATTTCTTTTGCTTCACATTTTTTTAAACAGCTTTTGTTTTAATACTTTTGTTAATTATGTAACATGTTTCCATGGGTCCAAAGTCAGATCTATTAAAAGCCATATTTAATGAAGACTAGCTTCTATCCTTGATCCCTTGCCCTATTTCCTCCCTTCCATGTTTAAAAATTTCAGGGCTCATCCTTTCATTTAAAAATATATTCAGATAAAT